>NC_000006.12:7787272-7938787 GCF_000001405.40 Homo sapiens
GTGAACTTCTCTGGAAGCGCCTGAGTGAGTCAGTGTCTGAAAAGGAGCTACACCTCTAAAACAGTTATCAAGTATTTAGGGATGAGGTGCTGCAAAGCCAAGAGAGTGAAAACAATCCTTAAAGGCGTGTTTGGCCAGCTCTCAAAAATCTTAGACAGTTGCAACACAGTCCTTGGCTCAGACACTGGATTTTTCCCATTCATGTACTTTTTTGACAGATGAATTGTTGCAGGCTGCAAAAAAAGCTCGAAGAGGAATCTGTTAGACTCCTCACTCAGAGCAGGGATCTATTTGCTTGCAATCCTGTTAGCAAACCAAGGTGCCATTTGCTTTGTGTGGTGTGCTACTTGGCCACTTTTTCTTAGCCGTGGCTGCTCTGTCTGAAACGGTCATGGTCTCATTCAGCTCTAGCATATTTGCGTGTTAGGTTGGCATGAAGATTCTCAATTTAGTAAATGCTAGACACTAGTATAACTTCCCTGAATTCCTGCCTCTCAACTCCTATGGAATGTTTATGGCTTTCATTATAGTAATAACAAGATTTCTTGCACAAAAACTCACTTGACCTTGGCACTTTCTTTCTAGAGCCATCCTTCCTTTTTGCTGATAGGTGGGTTTGCATTTATTTTTGGCATGACTTTTTCACCTTCTGAATTGCTGACTATGGTAGATTGATTTTTTTTTTTAAAGAAACGCAAGTCATTTTGATGAAACGATCAACCCAGCCTGATATAACTTTAAGTATAGTTTCACACCACATGTAATAAATGTGACCCTTTAGAGATATTAGAAACTGATGATGAATGTTTAGTTACAAGAATAGTTCAGACCCTCAGGTATGGGTATTCTTTGCACAACTCTGGAATATATTTCTTGAATCACTGGAAGAAGATGGAGTCCTTGGAAACATGTTGTCAGGGGCTCAATTACCTTTAGACCTTTAAGTGTTCTTGGCCAAAGGCTTGGTAGTAATTATTTGAGGGCATTAGTGATAGACCACATGTTAAGGCTGTAGCTGAAACCAAGAGTCATCATATGCATCCTGTATGGAAAGAACTGGGGATCATACTTCAGTCTTTCCAGCCAAACTATGTGTATACCATCACTAACTTAAGAAACACAGTGTATGCTATTGTGTGCTGGTACACAATGGGGAAAATGACTGGCTGCCTTCAAATCCTGTCTTCTATGTCTAGGCTCAACAACGGGGGACCCCTCTGTATGTTTTTATGCCGAGAACTAAAGAATTTTAAAAATAAACTTGGATAGTTTTAAAGGGTGTAATATCCTATGAATTGTAACACTGTATATATGCTTTAAGTGTATTATCAAAGAGTCAAAGTTATGGACTTTTCTCCTTCATACTTGGAAAATGTTCATCATTGTAAAACAAATGGCAGCAAAACCAGTCCTTAGGATGAAGCAAATCAGAAGGAGTGACTTTGTTTTTAAAATTTAAGTAAATGTGTTAACATGTCATTTCAAATAATCATCTTGCTTCTGAACTAAAATTCCTAAGATACGTAGATAGAAAAGGCAGTGAGTTTGTCACCTGGTAGAAATAAGATCCCTCCCACCCCTTATTCCATCCTATCTCTGTTTTTTTTTTTTTTTTTAAAGTGTTCTGTGCTTTGCTCTCCAAGGTGCTTCCTCAGGAATGCATTGTCAAATTACTCCTTGTATTTGGCAACCCAAGGAGCTTTTTCCTCCAGCTTTATTGAAGTATAGTTGACAACTAATTGTATGTGTTTAAGGTATACAACTTGATGATTGGCCTATGTATACATTGTAAGATATCCAGTACAATCAAGTAACATATCCATCACCTCGGTGTTGTTAACTATAGTCAGCATGCTGTATGCTAGACCTTCAGAACTCGTTCATCTCGCACAGCAGGGATTCTGTACCCCTAGCCCTACGTCTCCCCAAAGGCTTTACTACACTGGTCAGTAAAGGGGAGGAGGAAACGAGAACTGAATGAGCAATCTCAGGCTAATCGGTTTCAGGAAGGAGTTCATATGGAAACTGAGGTTCTGGAAATGTAATCTACTTTTAAGAATCAACCACACCTGTGCCTCCTCCAGAAAATCTTTGTAGTGCATGACTCTTACCAGGCGTATATGTAGAGGAAAAGGTCAAAGAAAAACATTTCCAAAGATACTGTGAAAAATAAAATTGTATTTTATCATAGAATTATAAAAGGTATAACTGGGGAAGTTTAAACATGGGTAGAAAAATGGAAAGAAGAATGAGACCCATGAGACGGTAATTCACATGAATCATTGATGTGAAAATATGTGGATGATATTGAGGGGCAGATGGACAGACAGGTTGGCAGGTGCTCCTGGAGTCTCATGGAGAGGGGGTCACTTGCTCCCAAGCAGCCAGTTCCAAAGTGTCTTGACGGCTTCCTTTCTGGAAGTACTCGGGGCTGGTTAGTAATTATTTCCCAGCTTATGGGATTTCTTAGACTCTCCCTGGCTGGCCTTTTAAAAATGAATGACCCTCCTATCCTTTCAAGATGAAGCAGGCTCTTTAGGCCCTCTGATACCCCTTGCCAGCCCACACTGAGCCTGTGGGACCTAGAGACAGGCAGCTTTTCACACCTTCTGGATTGCTGATTATGGTAGACTGATTTTTTTTTAAATAAAATCAAGTCATTTTGATGAAATGACCAACTCAGCCTGATATAACTGGGTCTGCTGCAGGAGCAGGCTGGCTGGGTTCTGTGTCCAAAGACCTGGGCCTGCTCTGTTGCTCCTTCTCAGGGTTGCCAGTGCTGCTTGGCACTGTTCAGTGTCTGTGGAGGTGTTGTCTAGGGCTGTTCCCTCTGTCCATTTTCTGTGAGCAATACATGCCCCCTGCTCCTTTCCAGAAACCACTTGTATTTTACTAATTGCTACAGTCAGCTTTCTGAACGTGGGCCGCTTATTTTGATACTGGCTTGAGAACACACACAAGGCTGGGTGCAGTGGCTCACGCCCGTAACCCTCACACTTTGGGATGCGGAAGCAGGCGGATCTCTTTAGTCCGGGAGTTTGAGACCAGCCTGGGCATCATGGTGAAACTCCATCTCTACCAAAAAAAATACAGAAATTACCCAGGCATAGTGGCACACTTCTGTAGTCCCAGCTACTTGGGAGGTTGAGGTGGGGGGATGACCTGGGCCCTGGAGGTGGAGGTTTCAGTGAGCTGAGATCGCACTGCACTCCAGCCAGGGTGACACAGTGAGACCCTGTCTCAAAAAAAAAAAAAAAAAAAAAAAAAAAAAAAAGACACACACATATACAGCTGTTCTTGTTGGGGTGTGTGTATATTAAGTTTGTTTTCAAGTAAGCTTCTCTGCCTCCTGCCCTTCTACTGGTTGATAATTTTTCTAGTATCTATCAGGGACAGCAGGTTGATGGTGTTGGCAGAGTTTGTCCGTAGCATCATGGTCCTTGAGGCTTTTGTAGTACAAACAAAACAGAATACCACACAACTACCAGTTCTCTCACTCCATAGGACATCGCCACATGGCCCAATACTCCTTCTTGCAGGTCTGTCCTTGTCACACGGAGGATTCTAACATGATTGACTCTGTTGGGTCAATTTCTACTCCCAGCTCTTCTAGCCTCACAAATCCACTTATCTCCCTTTCCATTTGCATGTTCGAGTCCACCCTTTCTGTAGGCTCCTTCCCATGAGCATTTATACACGCTTGAGTCTGTCTGACAGAAACCTCCCTTGGCCCCTTCACCCTAAAGCACATGTGTTCTCTCCCCTCTCCTCCGACAAAATCCAAAAGTATGGTCTACACTCATACTTCCCTTCCTTCTCTTCTGCTCCCCTTGACTCCCTTGCCTCTGGTTTACCCCACCAGAGGGTGGAGGGGGCATGGTCACTTGTATGAGAGGATGGCAAAGTTCCTTCTTTCTTAAAATATGTGACTTCTCCATCATCCCAGAGCAAATCACATCCTGTTCCACTACTTATTTAACTAATGTCAACGACTTTGGACGATCCTAAAGCATTTTCAGTAGACCTCTGAGTCCCTCCTCTGTGTTTGCGTCCACTCCCACTGCTTCGGTGAGATGGATCAGTGACTCTCTCATTGCCACATCTTCTTCCTGTGGGGAGCAGCATCTTCCCCTAGCTTCTGTGCCACCCTATCTCTGTCTGTCACCTCTACAGTCACTGCCTCTGGCCCCTTAAATGTTAGTGTTTTTCAGGCACTGTCCTTGGCCCTCTCTGCTTCTCCATCTTCATGGCAACCTCACCTCCTCCCAGCGCTTCAGTTGGTCCTTGAGCTGCTGCCCCTTAACCCAGAATTCTGTCTCTGGAACTTTTGACTCTCCTAATGGCGCTCTGAACATCACTACCTGGAAGTCCCAGAAGCCCCTCAAATTCAGCATGTAGGAAACTTATTTCATTGTGACCCCCATGCCTGCCACTCTTTCTGTGTTCCCTCTCCAGCGAATGACGTTGCCATGTACTCAGCTTCCTAAGCCAGCAAAAAGGGCTTTATCTTAGATTCCTTCCTACCTGTTGTCTTATCCCCAGTTTCAATGGCCAAATCACATCCATTCTACCTCAGTATATTTTATATCCGTCTACTTATTTTTATCCTTTGCCACCCTTTGCCTCCTACTTAAGAATCAAAAACCCTGTAAGACTTCCTTGACCTCATAAGAACAGGTTAGATTCTTGTATCAGTCAGAGAAACAGGACCAATTGGATGGATGGATGGATGGATGGATGGATGGATGGATGGATGGATGGAAACTTATTTTAAGGAATTAATCTTGAGGCTGACAATTCAAAATCCATAACTGCGGGAGGAGGGTGCTAACAATTCTGAATCTGTAGGGCAGGCTGTAAACTCAGGCGGGAGGTGATGCCAAAGTGTCGAGGTGGAATCTCTTCTTACCTGGGAAACCTCCGTTTTTGCTCTGAAAGCCTTCAACTGGGTGGATAACACCCACATTATCAAGGGTGGTCTCCTTTGCTTAAAGTTAACTGATTGAGGATATTAACCTCATCTATAAAACACCTTCACAGCAACACCTAGATTAGTGTTTGATTACATAACTGGGGACCGTACCCTTGCTCAGTTGACACGTAAAACTGACCCTCACAGTTCTCCCTCTGGGTGGATATTCCCACACCACACATCTTCTAAACAGTATTTTACTATATTGAAGTGGGCTGTGTACTCACCTGTGTCCCCCACTGGACTGCAGGCAGGTATTATGTCTTGTCCACCTAATGGCTGCATAAAATAGGAATACACACAGACATACCCGACTCAAACAGATACAAACACATAGACAGGCACACAGGCATACCCAGATGCGTCTACATATCTGAAAGTGAATGAATGAATGTTCTTAGCCTTCTGTTTTTTCATGGATGGTCTGTAGGAAGCAACATTCCAACAAGGCAGAGCCAGTAACAGAGGATGCTTGATGGCAGGGAATGGTTGTCAGATATGAAAAATGTTTCAATGGGCCCTACAACCAACATGTGGAAGTTTACTCTAGCCTAGGTCTTGATTCAGCCATAGCAGACAAACTGCAAGAGGGAAACCAAAGACAAGATGAACCCCTTTGCAGCTGAGTGTTTCATACTCAAGGGTCTAGTAACATAAACTAACTGTTGTCTACCATGTATCAGATGCTCAAATATAGTTACGTGTTTTTTTCATTATGTAGCAACTGTGCATCTTCATGTCACAAACTTGCAAGAAATAGAATTTCTTTATTATCTTATAAATTGGTTTGTCTCACTTGTCCCACTTCTGCCTGATGGGAGAAACTTGATATACAGTTAATGCCAGGAAAACTCAGTCGATTAAGAGTTTTTTTCAGGTAAGTCTTAATATTCCTGTAGATGAATGGATAAACAAACTGGCACATCCAGACGATGGGCTATTCTTCAGCACTAAAAAGAAATGAGCTTTCAAGCTACAGAGGAATATAGAGTTTGCTCTACATATTGTTAACTAAAGAAGCCAAACTGAAAAGGTTACATACTATATAGTTCCAACTGTACGACATTCTGGGAAAGGCAAAACTGTAGAGACAGTAAAAACATTAGTGGTGGCCAAGGGTTTGGGGGAAGGAGGGATGAATAGATGGAGCCCACATGATTTTTAGCACAGTAAAAATACTGTATGATACTACAATGGTAGATGCATGTCATTATACGGTTGCCCAAACCCATAGACTATACAACACCGAGAGTGAACTCTAATGTCAACTGTGGACCTTGGGTGATAATGATGTGTCCGTGTAGGTCCACCGATGATAACTAATGTACCACTTTGGTGCAGGATGTTGATATGGGGGAGGCTGTGCTTGGTGGGAGGCAGACAGGGGGCATATGAGAACTCTCTGTACCTTGTGCTCAGCATAGCTGTAAACCCAAAAGTGCTCTAAAAGATAAAGCCTATTAAAAAACAAAGTCTTATTAGTCCTCCTCCATGGGGTTGCTTTTCATTTATGGGGAGTTCACATGGCTTCAAAGAAGTGAGAGGCGTGTGACCATCCTCAGTCGCCATGATTCCAGATATCCACGGGCTGTCAGTCTTCTCATCTTGTCCCCAGGCACTGCCTTCCCTCAACCCTGATGCCTGCTGATGTGTCTGTGTTTCTGCCTGAGCCCCAGCCACCTAGTCCAGGCTCGCATCTGCTGCTTTCATACTGCATGGCATTTTCAGAGCTGCCAGCTGCCTATTCCCCAGCACAGGATCCACAGGCCTATCTGGGAGTTCTGTTGCTCTCATTCGCAAGCTCTGTCCATGGGTAAGGCTCGTACTCAGAGGCCTGTGGCACTGATGCTCTTCACTCTTGCTCCTTATGGCCCCTTGACTTGGAGATTCTTTTTGTGTCTGGGAAGGAGTGGAGGGAGGTACACCTGGCTCAGCATGTGTTCTGTCAAACCTATTACTTATCAAGGGTCTTGACTCTTGAAACTTGAAAGCCAAAAGTTGGGCCATTTGGTTCTCTTGTTCTGCTGTAAGGATTTCTGTCTGGAATAATGGGTTGCTTCATGTCTAGTAGCCCAAATAGAAAAGTGTCATGGGGTAACAACAAGAATGTACACTTTGGGAGAGGCCAAGGCAGGAGGATCCCTTGAGCCTAACAGTTCTAGACCAGCCTGGCAACATAGCCTCTCTACTAAAAATTTTTTTAAAAATAGCTGGGTGTGGTGGCTCATGCCTTTAGACCCAGCTCCTCCAGAGGCTGAGGCAGAAGGATTGCCTGAGTCCAGGAGTTCCAGGTTGCAGTGAGTTGTGATAGTACCACAGCACTCCAGGCTGGGTGACAGAATGAAACCCTGTCCCAAAAGAAAAAAAAAAAAAAAAAGGAGAAGAAGAATGTAAAGGGTATGGGAAAGTAATATGTTAGTTGATACCTTACAATAAATTTGCCACATTTACAACCTTAGGAGATCGTATTCTCAGCCCTAGGTTGAAGGTGAGGAAATGTGAGGCAGGGAGTTGGAAGAGCCTTCACTTGCCCAGGGTCGTAAGTGATAGGACAGGGATTTGGACACAGGTTGGTCTGACTTCACTGTGCCATACTGCTCATAAGAAGAGAACATGGAGGAAGGATCACTTTCTAAGGGATACCCAACAGTGTGAAAAGACCCATTTATAGTATTTCTGAATCCTGGAAAGGCTCTCCCTATTCTATAGAGAAATTTTCCAAGACCTCAGGATTCCAGTACTATCCATGGGAACACAGGAGTCCTTGACAGGAAACATTTATGTTTTTCCAGTTTATTAAACTGCAAAATAACAGCCACCCAGTTAAGGAAGGAAAGCATGTTGAACATCTCTTTGCCAGGCACGGGAGATAAAGCTCCTGCTGTGTTCTGGGTTTTACAGACATAAAGGAAATGAAGCATAGTCCCCATGTCTGTAACCTTTCATGGGGAGAAACACAAGGGCAGACAATTTTCATTCATCCCCACTCTTGAGATTTTGAAAGAGGCATGTGCAAGGGCAGCCAGAACCACAAGGAAGGACCCTGGCCTGGTCTGAGATGGTCAGTGTGGGTTTTTGAAGGACAGAGTCAAGTCCTAAGAAGAAGGAATTGGCCTGGGAAGATGATCTAGAGAGTGTGACTGGGGAGTGCTCCAGGCTGAGGGGATGGAGGAACAAAGCAAGGCAGTGGTAAAACAGCCCTGTTAGTTCAGGGATCCCCAAGGCAGAGGGATGTGGCTGGACAGAGAGGCAAGGTCCTGGCTACAAAGGGCTAGTTTGTCATGAAGCCACTTAGATTCAACCCCACAGCTGATGACAAGCCATTGAGGGAGTTTAATCAGGAGCGATGTGACCAGACTTGTGTTTTTAGGTACACTGCTGGGTGGCAACGAAGAGAGTGCATGGGATAGAACTTGGAGAAGGAGGGCCATCACATTGTCCAGCAGAGAGATGAGGGCCTGGGCTAAGGTAGGGATGGAACAGAAGGAGAGCAGAAGACAAAGCCAGAAAACCCCGGGGAAGTCAAATGAGTGGGACTTAGTGCTGATTGGAAAGGGGAGAGCAATGGTAGGGAATGAGGTGTTGAAGGTGACTCCTGGGCACCCATCTTGAATGTATGGGTGGATGGAGGCGCCTCTAAATGAGAGAGTGAGGAGCAAAAGTAGATTTGGGGGAAAACATGATGAGTTCAGTTTGACATATGTTGAATTTGAGGTATCCTTGGGAGATAGCAAGTACGCAGTTGGAGTCAAATCTATCATTTGTAAGAAAGGTGATAGAGATTTAGGATTGGAAGTCTATAGCCTGGAGTAAGAGTTAACACCATGAGGGCAGATGAGATTGCCCAGGGAGAGCACCCAGGGTGAAAATGAAATAGTTCTTGAGATAGACAAAGAAGCAAGCAGTGAAGAGGATCCTGGGGAGGAGGTTGGACACAATCAGACATCTATGGAATCTCAAAAATGGAGGAGGCCAGTGGGATCAGTAATGTCACATTCTGCAGAGAAGTCCTTAAAAAGAAGAGTGCCATCTGGATTGCCAGAGGGAACACATTGGTGGCCCAAGGGAGGAATGTTTTGGCAGATTTTATGAGGATGAAGCCAAACTGCCACCCTCGTGGCCAAGATGGCCTTGATCCTGTCGCAGGAAAGTCCCTTCTGTGCTTGGTAGAAGAATAGTACTTTTTTCACCCTGTTCCCCACACTGTTGCATTAAGCATGCTAAATAGCATCACCCCCTTCCTCATCTATAGGAATATTAATTTTAGGCTTTGTCTTGCTGTCACAATATTTTAACTAATTTTTCCTAAGTTCTTATCAGGTACATAATGGACATTCTAATTAGAAAAAAACCATCCGTATGCCCTAAACCTTACCTCTGAGGGTATCTTCATAGTGAAGAAGTTTCTATTTTGCCAGAAAAAAAGCGATACTTATAAAATAAATGTTTTCTCTTTTACTACTTAGTAGAACCAATACATAATGGAATTTTAGTTTCATTTCATAAAATATTTACTCTGTAAGCAAATTAAAGTGACTTTTTTTAAACAAAAGAAGGTTGCTGTATTCACCATTGAATCAAATCTTTAGATTTCCAAATTAGTGAACTAATTCTGTGAAATAATCATCTTATTCAAAGCTATTCAAATCTTTCTGGATAATTCGTTCTGTTTCCCAGGTATCGGCACAATCATAGGCTCATAAACAGAACTCCAATGCGTTGTTTCTGTTTCTCTTTGTCATGTGATTTAGGGTTTATTTTTGTTTGTCAATTTAAATTCTAAGAATCTAGATCTCAGTGTCTCCTTGAAAGAATACTTTATTAAGTACTACCTATTTGTAATATGTTTCAATGTAGACTAACCAACCCAATAATGAGTATTTGGTAAAGCAATAGGAAACTTTGCAGTAACTACAACAAATATACGTCATCATACTCTTTGTGGAGATGACACGCTGGAAATTTCAGGTGGTGCTTATTTTTAAATGTATGCTCTATTTAATGTGTCCCTAAGTTCTCAGTCTCCAAAATAAATCTAACACGGGCAGCACCCCCCTCCCATCCGCCACACAAAACATGAGCTGTTACACATCCCGAGTAATGAAGTGTATAGTCGCTTCAGCTTTCTCTTGGCATCCGAGGCTAAGGAGCTAATATTCTAAGAGGTGATGTATTTTAATCCTAATAAGCACCTAAGAATTCATTGAGTGAAAAGTTAAGGTTAGCAATCAACCTTGGCAAACTGATGCTTATAAATTATACCAATGTGAAATTGTGTTTGAGGTGAGAAACAAGAGTGGGTGCTGAGAGGGAGTAATAAACCATCCAACTGCAAATGGCGACATTTCATCACACCACTGTTCTCATTGGACATTATTCACAAGCATACTTTTGATTTATTTTTCTCAGTGGGTCTGTAAATCTCTTTCTTGGAGTGCAAATTGCATGAGTAGTAAGTTCCATGTGCCAGGAGATGGCTTGGTTCATCTCTTAGACCTTGACTTTATTAATAACAGCAACAAAAAGAAGAGACCGATACAAGTTATAGAGAACCTCAAAATGAAAAGCAAATTTATTCTAGATTCTACCTTTTTGTTTTATGTGTGTTTTTCTTTTACTAAACAATCTTATCTGGTAATTTGTTCCATCATGATGCTTTGAGAAACATAGAAACTGGTTATTGAAAAGATCAGATGTATACGTTGATTTTTGTAAAGATCAGATGTCCTTCCCCTAAGATAGGGTGACTTCTACTGCCATTGTGTTGTAGATCTTGTGCCTGTCATTCTTTCCCTTAAGCTAAATATGCTCTAGTACTCTCTCTAAGTCTAATCTTATAGTCTGTTAACTAGTTGACTTGTTTGGTGGGGTGTGAAGTACCAAGGAGACCAAGTCTTGGATTTAATGATGACAAAAGTCAACCTATATTCCACATATGTCCTTATTTCTGTAGAGTCCATTAGGCTTCTTGTATTTGAAGGCCACAGGGTATACCTTTAGGCCACTCAGCCAAGTTCTTGCCATGAGTCACAAAGCAGAACCAGATGTAAGACCAGAGGGTGAGGACTTCGAGCCCAGCGGGGACCACAGGGATGGTCTGGACCACTTTCCTCACCTTACTGATGGTGAACTGAAGCCAAAAGAGGTCAAGTCCCTGTTCGCAGTCATGCAGCCCCTTAGAGTTGGCTCTGGGTGACCACCCTTCCAGTCCAGCACTGTTTCTGATACAGTGCGCATGAGCATCTCAGCAAGTATCTCACATCATTTTTGCAAATGAGCAAAACCACACTAATTTAGGGTTCGTGTTCTACCTGTTCCCAACAGTCTGCTTCCTACTTCCAATGCCAGTGACACTTTGCCAGTCCCATTCATCTTGGGGACAATCCTCAGATGTTCCTTCCACACTCACTCACTCGGCACTGCTGCTTGCCACACACTGTGCTTTGGTTGCAGGAACAAGGACAGACCTCCACCTGTTGAGAAAAACTATTTCAAAATAATCCTTGCCACCACACCACATGTAGCATAAGGAAAATTATAAAGTAATTCCCTTAGACTTAGACTTTGTAATAACCAGCTCAGGAACCAGAGAAACCCCTGCTAGGGTTAGAGGTGACTTTATTTCACAGATTCCATGGCCAGACGCCAGAGTGATACAGAGAAACTCGGAACGTGGTCACCAGTGGGCCTTCTGGCAGGCCTAGGGAGATTGGATCATCTCATTACATCATTTTTAATTATTACCTCTTGACCTCACTCACTTTCTCTCACCACATCATGTACTGGTTTTAATTGGTCAGTAGCCGAAGAGTAACAAGCTTACTCGAAATTTCCAACATAGAACATGAAAACTTTGGCTACTGCGAATTCCAAGGTTTTGGATGGCAAAAATCTGGCAATGACTCCAAAGGAGGGAGAGAGGAGAGAGCAGCTTGTTCAATGGAATAACCTCATTTTAAGGCTGGAGTGCCAAGCTAATTTGTTAAAATTACTATACTCCTTTCTCAATTATCCATCTCAAGGTTTATTTATGTTGTGGATTTGTGATGGTCGCCACATCTCAGCCAATCAAAGTAGGGGACAGGGTCAGGTGCGAAATCAGTAATTCTGTATAAAGTAGAATTCAGAAAACTGCTAGTCACTTGGATTAATTCAGGGAAGTCCTGTTCAGATTATTGAAAAGATCAAAGTTATGATTTCTTTTTTTGAAGAAGGGCTATTTGATTCCAACTGAATGTTAGTGTGCCAGTTATTTAACTCTTCTGGGCCTTCCTTATAAATAAGGAGTATAGACAATGATGAAATTAAGGTCTCTTCTAGGCAGGCATCCTATAAGATTAGAACTATTACTTTGAAATACCTACAGCAACTGGTAATGAGCTGGCAGAGTAGTCCTCACCGCTCAGCTTACTTTAATAAATAAGCAGCCATGATTTATAGTTGACAAGAGCACCAGCCAAAATCTATTCTCCTTGACTTATAGTTACACTGATTATAAAAAAAAAAAAAAAGATAATGTCTCTGGTGCTTAAAAGCATATTATCATAGAGTCTTTAAAACTTGAAAGGATTTTGATTTTATTCTCTACTCTCATTCACAGTTGAGCCTGTGCCCTGACCTAGGTGTCATCTGCATTTGCTTAAGGAACCGATCACTTATTGATAGGTGCAAATGTTGAAGGGTCAGGTGTCATCAATAAGCATACATTCCAAAATCATGAAGTCCTGAATTGATGAAGTTCTACTGCACGGTTCTTTTGGAGTTGTTTATATTAACTTTATCAGGATATCTTCTCTCATCCAAAAGAGATGAGTGTTATTACGATAAAGGAAGGGGTGTGTGTGTGTGTGTGTGTGTGTGTGTGTGTGTGTGTGTGTGATCTAAAAGAAGCCACCCTGGCATATGATTTCTTCCCTCCTCACATACCCACTTCCAAACATGTCAGATTTACTGCAATCCTTTATCTCAGATGCCTGTACTATAAAGTGGGATAATCCTTATCTTTGCTACTTCACAGTGAGTAGTGGAGACAAATGAGATAGTAAATAGGAGCATTCTTTGAACTCTTATGGAGAGAGCTTTTAAATACAGACTTTAAAAAAGAGTCAGATAATTCCAGTGGAAAATTTTGTAGATAATCAATAATGTCCATAAAATGTTACATTAGACCTCACATCTCCTTCACAGAATGGCCTTTGTCCCTGTAGCCTGAGTGTCTCACAAAATCTCTAACATTTATATCCTGAAAAAGCTCTTCTTCTGTCCCTCCCCTGCCCATGGTGTCTGGGAGGCCCAGTCTAAACCATGTCTGGGTGGCAAGGTCTTTGTTTTCTTCTTATTAAGCTCTGGGGGTTTGATTGTAGCTCTCCCCTACTATAAAAGCACCTTTCTTTTCCTCTAGGGTTTGGGGATGGATTGATATATTTACTTCTAGTTATCCTGGGGTTCCTTTTATTATTCTGTCTTATTTCCATATGCAGGAGCATGATAGAAGTATTTATTGGACTTTGTTTTACAAACCAACCAATAAATTGATTCATTAAAACTTCATTAATTTAAGGAAATTATATTTAACCCACATTTTCTAGGGTTCTAGGGCCAATGATTTGTCATTTGAACTGGCTAGGGTTAGGTTTTCAGGCTGTGGTCATAAAATAAAGCGGGGGGAGGGGGGGGCACATGTCCTTGACCTTGGCTCCAGTCAGTCAAGTTGGTCAGTGCCACCATGTGTACTTCCATGAGAGCTTGCTGCAGGTACCTAAGTTTTTCAGAACTGAGACTGTTCTCATCTGGCCACTTAATTTGGAGGAAGATATGTATCTCAGTTCCAGAATGTAGTAACGAAGGCAAAAATGAAGCAAAATATTTCTAAATTGATGCTCTCTCCTGCACAAATGAATAGTATTCGTTCACTTTGGGTGGCTTGGCATCAACTTTTTAAGACAGCATTTATTAACTTGAACCGAATCCTCTTAAAAATTTTCTTGCATAATTTCCAAACTGCTTTGTTTACTGTTTTCTTGAAGACCAGTCCTCTTGTTTTTGGCATTGGCTGATACTATTGGACTTCAATCCAGTGCTTCATCGCTGAGCGGTGACGCACTGAGAAACTCGATAGAGAAGCACCTGCAGTTAGTGACGCTCGGGTGGACTCTGCCAGGCTGGATCTGAATAAATCCTTAAGAGCAAACCCAGGTGAACAGGAAATCATTTCCTTCTGGTCAACATTGAGCTCTGAGATCCATAGTGATCAAATGCTGAGGTCCAGGACAGTTGGGTGCTGCCAAGTCACGTTTCATCCACAGGCTTGGCATCACCTTGTGACCTCAGTGGGTTCTGTGAAATAGCTCAGGGGCTGAAGAAGTCTGTCCAGATAATAGAGTAGTGTCAGAGAAAAAATTTCCCACCACTTTTCCCTCCCAGTCTGGGAGATGTGTGCCAAATTGGGGTGGGTGGGAAGCTGAAGTGGCTTGCAGAATGCAGCATGAACACAGATGCCTTCTGCCTCTTTGCAAGGTTTATGGAGAACTGAGACATGGGGGTGCTGCTCATGATTTAGTGGGCTCCTGAGCCACAGTAGACACAACAGATGTTGTTCTTGTTGGCAGAAGCAACGGCCTGATATCAAGCAATATGGGGTGCAGATGGTCCTATACTACAATTGATGAATCCGGTCAGCTTGCTCTAGGTCAGGGAGACATAGGCACTGCCCAGAAATTCATAGAAGGCCCCTTCTGTCAGGGAGATGTGGAGTGCCCCCAGCCAGACAGAGATCCAGAGGGTACATTCCAAATCTGCTTCCTGAACACAGAGGACCTGCCAACAGGCCATTTAGAAGGCATTTGGTGGAATGCTCAAGAGAAATGCAGCCTGGATGAGAACCTTATGTGAGCCATTTAATTTGCTACCTAACTCAGTTCATCTCTTTGTGTCTGTTATTAAAGAAAAAGCTCTAAAGAAAAGCTTACAGATATTTTGGATTTAAGAGAAGAGTATGATTGATTATATAACGGAGCCCAATGGGAAGAGTGTCTTATTTGATGTTTTCCCTCATTCAATCATTAAATGTTAATTGAGGACCTCTGTTCTCAGCACCAGCTATGATGGTAATGAAACAGGTATGATCCCTCACCTCTCCCTTGAGGCCCATTCAGTCATATGATGGAGCAGCATTCAGAGACCAATGATGGGCCCAATAGCTGTTCTTTATTGAACTGTTTCCCAGACGTTGTAATCCTCACAAGTAAGGGGTTTCTAATAAGGCAGTCAAAATTAATGGAACAGGCCCACCGTTCAGCATGACACTAGATTTGTGGCGGGATTGAGTGAGGACAACACTATTTGATGGGCTTGCATCAGGGAGGGAGGAAGACAGGGCAGTCACTTGATGAGGAGGGATGGGTGCTGCCATCAGCAACAACCTATGCACCTTCTGAGCAGGTCACTGAAAGGAGAGGAAGGTGGCAGTGTCCTTGGATGGACTGAGACTTGTCCTTTGATTGTCACCTGACAGTGAAGGGTTTCCTCATCCCAGAGAGACATTCTTAGGCAATTGCCTTCTTTCCAGATGGTGAGACTGAGTAGGTCTGGGGCCCATCTGGCCTTCTGGCTTAGAGCTGAATATGCGGTAGGGAAGGAGGGGGTCAGACACTCATTTATTCGTTCACCGAATGCTCATAGAATGCCTGCTCCCTGCAGGTGCTGTGGGATACAACAGATGCTAAGAGAGATATGGTTGCTATACAGATGAACCTTTCTTTCCAAGGAGGGAGACAAAAGCAAATCAACCTGGGAAGAAAAACACTTGAAGTTGTGATGGGTGCTAGGAAGGAAGCCTGCAGAGGCTTGAATGGGAAAATAGTAGACTCGGGATGGGGTTGGCCAGGGCAGGTCCCTTCCTCCCAGGGAAGAGTGGCGCAGGCAGAGGGAGCAGCGTACATCCACCTCAAGGTAGAAAGACCGTGACTGGCTCAAGCTTGGCTAGAGCATCCGTGGTCAAGAGCAGTGGGACAGGTTGGGGAGGGAGGTGACGGCCAGATCATTGAGAGTTTTAGCTTCCTTGAAAAAAAGTCTGGGTTTGGTCCAACTCAAATCCACTGAAGGGTTTGAGCATAGCTGTGATGTCATCCTAGACACCACTACCACATTAATGGTCTCTGTGGGTTATGATACAACACTCAAATCTTAGGGGATTCCCCACTGCCTTCTCGTTGGCATCAGCTTGTCTTAATCTTTCATTTCTTCCCATCCTGCACCTTAAGCTCTAACCTAATGGCAACCTCTACTCCCTACACATTCACAGTCTACTTCAAGCCTTTGTCCATGCCACTGTCTCCACCTACAGAAAACTCCCCACCCTGCAAGGCCTGGTTCACGTGGCATCCCCTTCACCATGCCTCTCTTTTGTAGTTTTCTCGGCCCAGATGTGATCGCCCTTCTCTGCCAGCCCTTTGTAACTTATGAATACCGCTATATTTCATTGATTTCAAGATGCACCATTTTTTTTTCACATTTAACTTGCGAAATCAGGTCGGGCCTAACAATTGCTAGTGTATTGTTTAATTGGCCATGCTTTTCCTCTCTTAGCAGTTACATAAATGAACGCTGCATTTTACTATCACTGGCATATTAGATTGGATGAAATATGGTAATTAATTTTTACCAGGTACTACAGTAATCAATATAATTGCATTTTCCCCTCTTGAAATCAGATCTCTGAGCATAGGAGCACATGGTCCCCCTTTCAGTATCCCAAGGTAAGCACACTTTTTGACATGCAAAGTTGGTGCCCTCCAATGAATATAAAATGCTAAATGAGAGGAAAATGTGCAGGAAACAATAAGGGATTTGTTCCAGCTGGATCTGACACACTAAATTGGAGCATTATAAGAGATGGAAATGTCTAGAGTGGGATGAGTGACCCGTTTAGTAGTAAGCCCAAATGTCAAGCTAAGGAATTCTGATCTCTCAAGGATTATCCCACACTGTAAATTGCAGGCAAAGCCATCGGGTAGGAAATTAAAGCAGAGGTTAAAGTAACTTTTTTTTTTTTAAACTCTCACTTAAAACTTACATATTTTTAAAAATTACCTCCTCTTCTCATTAGCCATCTGGCCATGCAAACTGGCTTTCACACTCCTTTCTTTCTTTCTTTCCTTTGCTTTTTTCTTTATTATTCAGTAGAGGTGCTGGTTTATACATAGTGATTGTCAGGACAGAGTTTTCAGGCAGCTCTATGACTATTGGGACCAGTCGCCAAAGTCCTTCATTTAAATGACCAATTTCACATTCAGTCTGGACTTCAATGGGGATGAAGATTTTAGAACCCGAAGACACATGGGTAATGCTGGAAGTCTTTTTCTCTTTCCCTATGAATGGAAAATTCATTCATTCATTTAGCAAACATCTGGTGTCTTTTACGTGCCAGTCACAGTGCTGGGTTTGAAGAATACACAGATAAAAATATGCTCGGTCCCTTCACATAGCTTCTATTCTAAACACAAGGAGAGTTTGTTAGTAGATTATTTCTACAGTGTCATGTATAGATGTATAGACTACCTTCTGTACTGGATTGGTTTAAATTAGATGATTTCCATGATGGGACTAGAGGATTTTAAGAATATTTTCCAACGCTTTCTACAACTGATTTTTTTTTTTCTTAGTGTATTAAAAAACACAGCCATTGCACAGAAATAATCTCCCACTTTCCAACCAACCTGATGCTTGTAAACTCCCTCTCAGGTCACACCAGAGGGACGAAATCATTTATAGAAAGCAAATTACTATTAAATCCTAAGCAATTTTATTGTTGAAAGTTTAACCCTATTTATATAATACTGTCATTGATGTGATGTAAATTTCTTTGCCCATTTCAATGTTTTGTCCCTAGTCTACAGATTCTATTAGATCCAGTAGACAGTGACGTGAAGGATTATGAATCCTCCCTGAGGTCTTTTCCGTGTAAAAGAGCTCTGTTGGTTGCTCATCTTTCATCTTTTCAGTGCAGCCAGAATAATCGCTGAGCTCACTGTCCGTATCTTATACAATGCGGACTTCATAAATGTTATCTTTTGGATTACAGAGCTGCACACTGACACACAGGTATGTGAAGAGATCTGTATCTATTCAACACACACACGATTATTATCTTGGTTGTAGTCACCTTAAAAAGTAGAATGAAATTTGTGTTATTTTAATGAGAGATACTGAGATGCTGCTATTCTTTGTGGTTTTCTATTAGGTTCATTTAAAGAAGCAAGCCTGTCCTGCTGTCTTATTTTAATGGTTTAGGACGGATGGAATTTTAATTGTATAGATGCAGCAGATCCTTTGGAAGGAAACCGGATCTACCCCATTAGAGTTTCATAGAGGTTTCAGATAACAGAAATGAATGTGAATCAACTAGCGCCTATTTCATTATGACTGGGGAAAACAAACAGTGTCAATATTTGGTACAAGAGCTCTTCCGTTTTAAAAGAGCAACTTGTAAGAGCCATGTAAGGCAAAATAAAACCTCACAAAGAGAATTCTGAGGGTCGGTAGAGATGATAAAATACTCTAGCACAGAAATCAAAAGACCATTAAAATCTTAAATATGCCATGATTTGAAAAACGTCCCAGTGAGGCTTCCCACAGTAAGCGAGGTCATCATAGAAGGCACGTTTGAATCTGTTTATCTCGGGTTGGAATGACACATGACTGCAGCCACATTCAGGCTCATTACTGCTGAAGTGTGAAGTGTCCACTTGGAAAGAATGCATTCTTTCACACATAAAGATTGCTGCATTCTGAGATGTGGGGTCAGCAATGTGGTTGGATGTTTTTTAGGAGATTAACATCGAACATATTTTCTACAAAGCCTGCTCAACAAGTTAACCACTTGGTGCCAGCCTCCTGGGGGCCCCGACATGGGGCAAGCACTGCTCTGGGGATTTCCAGCATCCTGAGACTTTCCCTCACCCTCACACATAGCAGATCAGGGTCTTCAAGTGCAGGTGACACATACATTGTGATCCACCTCAACCTGATGAAATTGATTTCTCTTAGTACCTATTGCTTCTACATGTGAATAGGCAATCTATAAGTTACATTCCCTGTGTCCCATTTTTAGGATTACTAACCAGCTGATTGCCCATGTGAGGACATCTTTATGAGTGTTTGCATTATCCTGGTGAGAATTTATGTAGCTCTTCTAATGTGTAAATTGCTAAACTTTTTCTTCCCCTACCTGAAATTTTGACTTACATGTGTATGGCTTTTGTAATTGCGTGAATGTATTCTATTGGCTATTGATGGTTTCTCTGATTCTAGGAAACACATACTTCTGCTGATCCTGACAACCAGAAAAAACAAAAACAAAAACAAAAAAAAACAAGTGATTTAAACAAAGCAAGTACAAAGTCATTACAGAGATTTCTTTTTTTTTTAGTATGGACTATTCTTAGTTATCTTTTTCTTTTCTTGGGTTGGATAATTTTAAATATTTTATACATCCTAATGAAATTAATATTTTCCACTTAAAATAGCTTATCTTGTTGAACTGTGATTGGATTGCTAAATAATTTTTAAAAGAAGATTAAAGTTTCATGCCTTGTCAAGAGGCCAATTAATGTAGCACAGCTAGGCAGGTAGGAAAGAAAAACTTCACCTGTCACAAGATAGGAATGTGTTGGTTGATACTCCCTGTCTTCCTTTGAAATCATACCATCGAAATGAAAGTTGTCCCTAGTTTTAATAACCTCCTGACAAGAGGATTCCACTGTTTCTCTGCTATCCCATTTCAATATTTAACAACTTTCTAAAAGTCTGAGCATCTCTTGCTTCAGATTGTCAATTTTTCTGTTATTGTTAGGAAACAGAGGGTCATTCTCTTACGTAATACTCTCCTTATGATTGTGGTCGGGGAAGAGAATGGTGCCCCACAGGAATCTTAGACCTCCTGTTCTATCTCCATCCTTTCGATATACAAAGGGCAGCAGTTCTCAAAGTGTGGTCCATGGACCAGCAGCATCAGCATCTCCTGGGACCTCGTTGTTTTTTGTTTGTTTGTTTTTGTTTTGTTTGTTTGAGACAGATTTTTGCTCTTGTTGCCCAGGCTGGAGTGCAGTGACGCACTCTCTGCTTATTGGAACCTCCACCTTCCAGTTTCAAGTGATTCTCCTGCCTCAGCCTCCAGAGTAGCACAGGCCACCACACCCGGCTGATTTTTGCATTTTTAGTAGAGACGGGGTTTCACCATGTTGGCCAGACTGGTCTCGAACTCCTGACCTAGTGATCCGCCCACCTTGGCCTCCCAAAGTGCTGGGATCACAGGCCTGAGCCCACGCGCCCGGCCGGGACCTTGTTTAACATGCACATTTTGGGGCTCCATCCCAGACCTACCAATTCAGAAACTCCAGGAGCGGGTCCCAGCAATTTGTGTTTCTACTGGCCCTCCAGGTGGTTCTAATGCATGCTAAGTTTGAAAACCCTTGTTATGTTGGAGGTTAGAGTCAGTCAGAAAGAAGACAGAGCAATTCAAACTACCCAAAGAGGAATGGACAGCCTTCACCTTCCATTACACTTCAGGTACACTTTGAAGACAACCAAAGAATGCAGACATTGGCCTGCAAATGCCTGTGCCTGCAATTGATTGCAGTTCTTTTTGTATTACTAACGGGAAGTCTTTACTTTTTTTTTTTTTTTTTTTTTTTTTGAGACGGAGTCTTGCTCTGTTGCCCAGGCTGGAGTGCAGTGGCACGATCTCAGCTCACTGCAATCTCCACTTCGCGGGTTCACGCCATTCTCCTGCCTCAGCCTCCCAAGTAGCTGGGACTACAGGCACCCGCCACCACACCCGGCTAATTTTTTGTGTTTTTAGTAGAGATGGGGTTTCACCGTGTTAGCCAGGATGGTCTTGATTTCCTGACCTTGTGATCTGCCCACCTCGGCCTCCCAAAGTGCTGGGATTACAGGCGTGAGCCACCGCGCCCGGCCTTAAATGTTAAAAGGAAAGAAAATATGCATATAAAGAGATTGCACTTAAAATTAGTCAGCTTGTACTTTGGTTGGTAGAAAACAAACTTCTGCAAAATCTGAAGATTTACTGATAGGTGGATGAGGAAGTATTTCTGAAATGTGTTAACCACTCATTTCATTTACCAGAAACTGCTCAGAGCCTCTTGGGGGGGCGATCATTGCAAACTTAACAAAACCAATCGCCTGACATTTCTGCATTGCACATAACTTCTTAAGACTGCCAGTTCTGAATTGTCCATTTTAAACTTTGCATTTATTCTTAGGACATGGGAAGTCTAAAGAAGATTTGGATGTTCCCCGAAACGCTTTCCTTCTTCATTTCCAACTAGCACCAAACTTTTGTCTGATTTTATTTACCTTCAAAAAGTTAGGCTGGGCACAGTGGCTCATGCCTATAATTCCAGTGCTTTGGGAGGCTGAGGTGTGAGGATTGCTTGAGTACAGGAGTTTGAGACCAGCCTGGGTAACATGACAAGATCATGTCTCAAACAAAAAATTTAAAAATTAGCCAGTGTGGTGGCATGCTTTTGTGATCCTAGCTACTCAGGAGGCTAAAGCAGAAGGATTGCTTGAGCCCAGGAGGTGGAGGCTGCATTGAGCTATGATAGTGGAACTGCACTCCAGCCTGGGCAACAGAACAAGACCCTGTCTCTAAAAAAAAAAAAAAAAAAAAAAAATTGGTGAACATTCACCTACTCTGATCAGAGGCATCCGCTTCCCGTGAGCACTTCTGTGCCTTGAGGATCCTGAGCACATGTGATCATAAGGAAAATTTAGGGCTAATTTTTAAAAACATAGGGGTTTGGTGAGGGCTCCATTTCTTCCAATGGGCGTATAGTACCCCCCACCCCCCCCCAAAAAAAAAACGCTTTTTAAACATGTTGACTAAAAAATGTAAAAGTGATAACTTCCTTTAAAAACTTTGGGCTGGAGTTTATTTAAGTGGAACTTTCTGGTAGCTTTTTGCAACCTGTAATAAACTCATTGGAATGAGTGGGAAATAGATATCATGTGTTTCCTGAGCCTTCCTTGGATCCGTGGCCAGGAAAAAAAGCTGCTGTTCAAGGGGTTAATGGTGTCCAAACCTTATTTATATTTGTGTGATTAGGGATGTGCAAAATGTGCCTCTTGCACTCAATCCAGGTTTGTGGAAGATTAGCTGTTCTAAACAGAAATGGAAGAACAGCCCAGAAGAATTGTAAAAAGAATGCGTAGCATGAGCAACAGGATTTTTTTTTTCCTGTGTGTGGCTATGTAGAGGCGGAAAAGGATGAAATGCGGTTTAAAAATTAAATGCAGACTAACTGCTTTCCTCCTCTGAAGAATGCCAGAAAACATTTAATCCAGGAGATACTCCTGACCATTGACCACATTCCACCCACCACCATTCAGTCGGAAGCTTCAGACTCCGTAAAATAGGCGAACATGGTTATTACTGCAAATGCTATTTGTTGATTTTTTAGGGTCGACAGCCCAATGGCTGAACAGTGCATGATTGAGTATGAATTCATACTGCGTTCAGCTTGCAAAAAAGACTTGCTATGTACAAAGTAGCCTCATCGGTTTGAATGCTTAGGAATTTTTCTAGGGAACAAAACATTATCAAAGACAGCAAAATTAAGGGAAACTGAGTGAGATTATTAAAATAGATCATATTAATGCCAAAATCTCTTGTACAAAGAGACCACTTATATATTTATTCACTGAGCAAATATTCATTGTTACCTATTCTGCACAGCTAGAGAATGTTAGCTCAAAGTTTTCAAACCATTTTTTTAAAACAAAGATGTTTATATATCCTCTACAGATTCCTAAAGTTGGATCTTATTTTCTTGGTTAATTGTATGTATTGATGGGGAAAATTTTTTAAAGTCATATTCAAATAGATTTCTTTGATTCGCTGGAGAATAAGAATTGGACATTTGCTCCAGGCCAATTGTTCATCTTATCGATAAATACAAAATGATGTCACTCAAGTTGTGGGATAACCCCCCAACCCACCCTCAAAGTTTAAGAAAACAGCTACGTAGATAGCATTATGGAATTCTTAAAGCTCCGAGGGGTATGAGAAGACATCAGTTCAATATCTTGAATTTGCAAAAGAGCTCACTGAGGCCCAGTAATCTTAGCTCAAGTGACTTTCCCAAGGCTCCAGAGGCAGCTGGTGGCAGAGCCAATCCCGGCAGCCATGGTCGGTCTTTTCTTGTGTTTCCCTCCAGGTCTTCTGCGTGCATTAAACTCTTACAGAGGTACTGACTTGGTTCCAGACATGTACCTGTACATGGGAAGTCCCTGTACTTGGGTAGCTCATGGTATTCATATTTGTCTTAGATCTTTCTTCCTTGGATATTACAAAGTGGAAGCTTATGAAGTGTGAAAATTAACCAAAGGATCTTAGAATCCTTCAGATTATTTTGAGTCATTCACTATACTTAATAATTGCATTCATTGTATTTTACTAAAACTATGTGTATGAAGCATGAAAATACATTTGTTCTTGAAAGAAGGGAACACTCAAAGTATATGGTACATTTGGCTCTTTCTTATCTTGCTTCTCTGCTACCTAGGCCAACACTGATTCTTGGCGATGGGGTCTCTGAGAGGAAACATCCTTAGCTACACGATCCTGTGGGTATGACAACAGTGGAGTCAGTTGGGGCTGTGATTCAAACCCCGCCACAGCCATACTTTGAAGCCTGGGTCTGAAACTGGGCCCTCATTGAAGTATCTTCAATGTGTAGGGCCTGATAGGTACCCCCATGTGGCCCCCAGGGCCCCCACCATGGCCTGATAGGTGCCCCATTACCTCAGGACAGCTCATGCTTTGGGACGAATCAGTCCCACTTGGTAAATCTCAAGGCTCATACTCAAGGGCATCAAAGGCCAGTGTGTAAATTGGGGCTATTCTCGTCTTGAGAAGGCATCCACCTGTCACTGTGTCACAGGCTGCTGACACCTCTCAGCCTACATTCTCAGTGACTGTAGCAATGATTCCCAGGTGAACAGAGCTGCTCCCCCAGGCCCCCTTGCTTCTGGCCCCAGAAGTCCAGGACACCTCTCCTAGGTGCACGGCTTCCCAAGCTCCTCTGGGGGTCTTGGGTTGGGATATACTTGCTTGGGGGAGAAAATGGGAGACTATCTAGAAGGAAGGTCTGATTTGGAGGGATGTAGCGCTGGCATGGTAGTTGCTATGTCCGCCTTTCGACTGGTTGCTATGGGGTTGAGCCCCAGTTCGGGCAAATGTATGTTCCCGGAGAAAAGCATTTTCAGTCGGCAATTCCTGACCCACCCTTTGAAATGACTTGATTCAGATACTGTTTATGAAGCACTTTCCGTTCTGAAATGGGGCCTAAGTTCAGGGTAGTGTTCTTTTCTGCTGTTTCATTTGACTGTAACGGGAGTTACACAAGTAACACAGGGTATAATTTGACCTAATTGATTCCAGGCCTCTTCATTGTCGCTCTAACATCTTCCTCCCTTTATTAAATTCACATCAGTTCACATTTCCCTTCGTTAAACTTCCAGTTAAACTCTTGCAGAGATGAGAATGCTTTCTGCAGATAACTTCAGTAATGGAAGCACCTAATTTTCTGTTTGGGTGATAAAAAGCCTCTGGTGATGAAAATATTTACTTTAAAAAACTGGGATTCTTAACTAAGTGAAAAATATATATATGAAAATTACTGTTCTGCAAATAGTTAGAACAGGGTAGCGCCTCTGCTCATAGCTTTGTATCAACATAGGCAGGTGTTCAAATGGAGAGAGCAGGGTGGGGGGCCCAAAGCGAGGAGACTGAGTTTCCAAATTCAACATTTAGCTGTTTTGGGTTAGGGTTGAGTTAGATCAAGGCTTGTACATTTTATATACTTTGACAGAATTGTGTTATTGGATTGAGAAAAATGGAAGGACTTTAGGGAGAGGGAGTAATCAGTGAATCCATCTGCGTGTTCTCAGAACTCAGTGAATTAATTCCATATAATAACTATTTTAAATTTTCAGTCTTAGAAAAAGGTTCCTTTGGTTTGCTTGAAGAATACTATCCATTCCAGTTCTTAGGAACATTGGCCTAGACACATTTGAAATTCAGTAGACTTTGGGCAACTGAAATTTACAAGATTAAACTATTACAAACTAGAAGAAAATAAAGGTGATGGTTTTAACTGGTCTCTCAATGGAGAAAAGCTTTCTGGCTATAAGTAATAGGAGACTGTATAATGTACATGTACACATGTAGATACATTTCTTACACATACAGTATATGTAAAGAAATACCCAGATATTAGATGACATAAAATTTTCAGACACATGTCAAAATATAAACAAAATTAAACATATACACATTAACCCTCTGGTATATTTGTTGCAAATATGATAGACAATAAATATGGCAAAGACCTATTCTTATATAAAAAGCCCATATAAATCAAGAAGAAAAATATCAAAGTTGAATGTAAAATATGTAGAACACATGAAAAAGAAACTGAGAAAGAACTATAAGTGCCTGTGGTGTATTTTCAACAGCTCTGTGAATTTCATTATTATGTTTCTGAAAGTGCCGTGGTGACCTCACCCACATGATTGACATGGTGTCCCATTTGTGAGGACACACACCAGGATCTCCCCCAGGTCTGGGCTTTTCCTGGGCTACCTTTCTCTGAGTTCTGTAACTGGCCACGTATCTGTGTTTTCAGTGATTTCTACAAAGGTGAGGAAAAAAAAAACATGCTGGGTCAGGTGTGATGGCTTCTGCCTGTAATTCCAGCACTGGAGGCTGAGGCAGGTATTCAAGATCAGCCTGAGCAACATGGCAAAGCCCTGTCTCTACAAAAAAAAAAAAAAAAAAAAAAATATATATATATATATATATATATATATATATATATATATAAAATTAGTGGGCATGGTAGTAGATAAGGGATCTTCATGACACATAATTTGTATATCTCTGATTGTGTTTTCTCTCTTTAGTTTCTCATTTATTTTTATGATGATATATTATTTGATTTTTATAAAACACCTCCAATACTTTGTGGAATGACATGGGTTTTAAGTAAATCATTACATAAAAATATATTTGAGGCCAGATATGATGGCGTATACCTGTAATCCCAGCACTTTTGGAGGCCAAGGCAAGAGGTTGCTTAACCCTAGGAATCTGAGACCAGCCTGGGCAACATAGTGAGATCCCTGTCTCTACAAAAAAAAAAAAAAAAAAAAAAACTATTTAAAAAACTAGCTGAGCATGGTGGCATGTGCCTGTAGTCTCAGCTACTAGGGAGGCTGAGGTGGGAGAATCATTTGAGCCCAGGAGTTCAAGGGTCCAGTGAGCTGTGATCACACCACTGCGCTCCAGCCAGGGTGACAGAGTGTGACCCTGTCTCAAAAAAAAAAAAAAAAAAAAAAAAAAACCCACCAAACCCAGTATAGAAAATATATATTTGAAAATTTCTATAGATACTCCATAGCATCTCCTTGCAATTTATTAATTTATCTTTATAATTCCCTTGATTTTGAATACCTGAGTTGGAAACAGTCACTGTATAAGTAGCCACCTAAAGAGTGACCCCCTCACCCCTACTGCCCCATCAGTCACTCCCTTTTCTGATTTCCTCTACGGAGGGAAAGCCCAGCTGTTCTTAGATGTTGCGACCACTGGTGGCCAGCTTGGGGACATCCAGGTAGTCCAATCCTTCCTTTCAGGTTGTTGGAAGAATTCAGTTTTGCAGTCATAGGACCGAGGTGCCCCTTTTCTTGCTGACTGTCAGCCAGGGCTGCTCTCAGATCCTAGAAGCTGCCTGTATTTCTCACCAAGTGGCCCTTTCCATCTTCATAGCCAATAACAGCTCATTATGCCTGGGATCCCTCTGCCTCTCTCTTCTGTTACCAGCTAGAGAAAACTATGTGCTTTTAAAGAGCTGCTGAGATTCAATTAGGCCCACATGGGCAATCTCCCTTCTGATTGTACTCAAAGTCAACTGATTAGTAACCTTAATTATATCTGCAGAATCCCTATTGCCACGTAACTTAATCAGGACATGACATCTCATCATGTTTATACTCCTGGGAATTAGGGCAAGAAATCTTAGGAGTCCATTTTAGAAATTTGCTTAAAACAGCCAGATGTCAAAAACTCTTAGCTTCTCTTCATTCATAAGGTTGTATTTCTTCCACTCCCCGATTTCTGTCTTCCTGTTGTTTGCAGACTTTTGCTGTTCTTTAGTTTGAGTGTTTTTTTTCTTCTTTCACATACAGTGTACAATATCCTTTTAAATCTTATCCTTTGTTACAGTCTCTGAATTCTTCACTAATAACTGTAGGAAGTATCTCTCTCTACCTTTCTCTTCCTCTCATTCTCACTCTTCAAGCCATTGGCAGGAGACATGTAATGATGTGAGGGTCAGGAGGCCAATACACCAGTTCCTGTTCTGTCCCTACATTAAGTATGTAGCTTGATCTTAGTGTCTTGGTCTCCTCAATCAGTAATAACTAATAATTATCTCTATTTAAATGAAAACACATGGACACAAGGAGGGGAACATCACATACCGGGGCCTGTCGGGGTGAGGCAGGGGAGGGGGAGAGCATTAGGACAAATACCTAATGCATGCAGGGCTTAAAACCTAGGTGACAGGTTGGTAGGTGCAGCAAACCACCGTGGCACATGTATACCTATGTAACAAAAGTGCACATTCTGCACATGTATCCCAGAACTTAAAGTAAAATAATAATAATTTTCTCTGTTTAGAGGATAAAATGAGCCTATTTAAATGTCTTTCAAAATATTCAAATTGTGTGATGCTAAGTTCCTAAATCACCTCTTGTAAGATTATTCTTCCTTTTCTGGGATCCCTTCTCTCATGATATGCCCAAGAATTCCTGGGACTTAAAGGGTCAGCCTTGGTTTCTCTTACCAAGCTATTAGAGTCATTACTCAAAATACCTCCTAGAAGCTGAGGACTCCAGACCTCTACCGAGTGCTGTGGCACCTAAACACTGATGAACTTGGAGATATTTTTGGATGTGCCGCAACTGCCTCTATGTGTGCAGAATAGCAGGGTGACTAAGAGCAAGAACTTCTGAATAAAAAATATCTGGGCTTGAATCCTGGCTCTGCCACTGATAAGCTTTAAGAATTGGAGCAAGTTTCACATCAGTAAATTAGGATAATAATTGGGATTGAGAGAAATAAATCAGATGTTTATAAAAAGCTTATCACTGTGCTTGGCACATAATAAATGTTTAATAAATAGTACCTACTGTTACTTTTGCTAAGTTACTTTTGCTAAGAATTAACATGGCAGTGGCAAAACCTTAGTCTTGGTTGAAATTACAGTATTATGAAAACATTTTGGAGGTTAAAATGATCATAGAAGGATCACACAGTTGAATTACAAATTCAAAAAGTTTTAAATACTAAAATTTAAAAATACAAAATACCAAATTTTAAAAAATAGAGAACACACACTGTAATTAGACCCCTAAGAAGGGAAGAAAATGGCTTAATTCATTCCCGTTATAATTAACAGTGGGCGTTTAACAGTAAAGATGTGCTTCGTGTTAACATTTTCCTTTGTCTCCAGTTGCTGGACTTCCTAATACAACCCATTTATCCAAAAATAGAGCAAGAGGAAACAGAACATAGTAGCATTGTAGAAATAAATAGTCGTTCTGGCTGGAAACCAAATGGTTGGCAGGGGCATTTTACTAATCACTGGTGTATTGATATGGCCTAAGCTGTGCTTGTTGGCAAAATTGTTACAGTCTGACTTGGTGACTCTTTAGGATGGGGTTGTAATTTTATTTTAGAATATTTCACACAGTAAAGGACTAAGGAAGTCCGGTCTCCTAGGTTGCAAAGCCATCAGTTAGTAGGTTAGAAAATTGCTGGAGAGGCTTGTGTGTGTACTTACACCATTGTTCAGCATTAATTGAGTATGTATTCTGACAAATGGATTAAGAAGGGAGCAGGAAATAGTGGAAACAGAGAAATACATAGAAGTAGTGGAAGAGAATGGAGTTTACATTTGTGTAACTTGTGGGCTCTTCGTTTAATCCCCTCCGTAATCCACAGAACAGATATCCTCCCTGTTTTAAAGGTAAGCAGCTTGGGGGTCAAAAAAACTCTTCAAGGTCATGCTCATTGATAAGTGGTAGAGCTGGAATTTAAACCCAGGTCTGTGTGACCACAAATGCCATGTATTTTCCACTGATTTGACTTTAGATTTGAAGCAGAAGTAAAATTGGGAAAGTATCAGTACATTCAGCCATGGCATCACCAGTAGGGGAGATGAAGTTAAAGCAAAATTTGAGAGAATCCCTTCTGGTGGAAGGGCTCTCAGTTAAAGCCCCATCCATAATTGCTTTCTGTTCATGTTGACCTTTATTTTAGACTAATGGTTTGTTTATTAATTAAACTGTGAAAACTAGTTTTACTTGATTAAAGTGCACAGCAGAGTATACTTTGTTTTGGTAGTGATTGTTTTTTCTTCTATTTTTTAACCCTTTAATGTCAGTTTTCCCTTGGAGGGATAATATATTAGATTAAAAAAAAACACTATGACATTAGGGGAAAATAGTATAGAATGCTACGTAGGCAGAAGTTATTACTCTACTGTTTTTCATATGGCTTATTAGCTGGTCGTTCTTTTTTATTGTGGCAATATTTCAGTTACTAAGATCAGATCCTTCAGTTAACCAGGGTTGTCTGTTGTTCTGAACTCTACTTGGAAAAGAAAGAGATCAATAAACTCAGAAACAAAGGCAAACAAAGAT
Organism: Homo sapiens; assembly: GCF_000001405.40. NCBI lineage: Eukaryota > Metazoa > Chordata > Mammalia > Primates > Hominidae > Homo > Homo sapiens. The sequence continues at coordinate 7,817,034 of NC_000006.12, forward strand.
ACACGTCCTCACCTTCTCATCACCAGTCCACTCGAGAGAAACCAGCTTTCAAAACATTCAGTCTATTTTTTCAATACCTTGCTTTTTAACTTTACAATTTGTAACATGCTTTTAAGTGTGTTAATGAGCTCCTTTGATTATCATGTTTTTTTAATGTGAGAAAAAATAGGCATATGCTGTTCTTCCCAGGTCTTCTGGTGTTCAAAGTTCTATCAACTAAACAACACTGGACTTCTTATCTTTTCAGTGGATGCTTATGTGGAGGTGGTGCAGGATGCTCAATTATTAAAAAATGATGTGATTATATATTAAGGTCAAAAACTGCCTGATGCACATATACACCATGGAATACTATGCAACCATAAAAAAGGATGAGTTCATGTCCTTTGTAGGGACATGGATGAGGCTAGAAACCATCATTCTGAGAAACTATCACAAGGACAGAAAACCAAACACCGCATGTTCTCACTCATAGGTGGGAATTGAACAATGAGAACACTTGGACACAGGGCGGGGAACATCACACACGGGGGCCTGTCGTGGCGTGGGGGGTGGGGGGAGGGATAGCATTAGGAGATATACCTAATGTAAATGATGAGTTAATGGGTGCAGCACACCAACATGGCACATGTATACATATGTAACAAACCTGCACATTGTGCACATGTACCCTAGAACTTAAAGTATAATTAAAAAAAAAAACTGCCTGATGTTTTAAAGCTGAATTGAAAGTGTATTTTTAAATTTAGATTTGGCCTTTTGCTAACCAAGATATTAGATTATCTAGAACATCTCCAGTAATGATAGAAATGTAGTGTTGCGAAGGGCTTTGGGAATCATCTTGTACAAATGCCTCACATTGCAAAGTGAGAAAACTGAGGTTTGTGGATGGCAAGCCATCAGTCAGCTTGTCTGGGATGTCATGTTGTGGGCCCAACAGGTGGGTAAATTTAGATCAGGTCACACATTTTTTAAAAACACATTTATAATTGGACTGGATACTTGAAAACTTTTAAAAAGCATAAAATAGACCAAATCCATGGCTTAGACTGTTTTGTTCTGCTGATTTTTCTCAGAATTTACAAAATACAGAGGATTGCAGCAGATCAAAAATAAGCAAATACATACGAATTAGAGCCGGAGAAGCTTTCCAGATTTCCTGATCTTACTGCCCTACAAGTATGAAAAAGCGTTTCTAAACATGTCTTTTTTTAATGTCAAGATGAGCGTGGCAACCTCGTGTTTGTTTTATACTTTTGGACATTTTATATTCCACTCTGCTAAAGGGGACTTGGGGTGAAAAAACAGAAAAGATTTTGGAATCTTTAATACTCCCTGTAGAATCATGTTATTTAACTTACGGCCACAACTTGTGGAATATTTCAGCACTTGTAATTCTGATTTGAAAAGTGTTTTTGTTTTTTCCTTCCAACTTGCTAGCAGCTGTAGGCAGTAACTGACATCTTTATATAAGTTGCACATTGTCGACATAGATAACTGGACAAGTTCTTTAGAGTGGCCTGGCACTTTTAGAGGTTTCTTTTCCTGCTAGACGGTGTTTAATCATGAAACAGCCCCTAGAGGGAAGTGCTTCTAGCTGTCTCCATCACAAACAAAGCCAGCACATTGGCTCAAACCAAGGGGCCTCCTCCAGAGCCTGAGGTCCTGGAGCCTTGCCCCGTAGCCCTTGCTTTCAAATGAACAGGGGATGTGTAGCCACCTACAATCTGACGTCAACTGTCAGGTCACACGCCTCATGCCTAGGTCAGAGGTACATCACTTTTAGACACGTTGATACTATCAAGAGAAAGGAAAAGACCATCAGGATCTGGGGAAGGGAGATCTTTTTGAGCCAATGATTGCATTTTATAAACACGTGAAATTGGCAAGACATTCTTTCCAGATTTCACAGAGGGATATCCCATGTCCAACCAGGGTAAGACATGAGGACATGAGTAATTAGAAGGAGAAACATTGTTCATAATGACAAGGTGGAATGTGAAAATTGGCTGGAGCAGAAAGGGGGAAAAAGACAAGCTGCAATGTGAGATTTAGGCACACAGACAGGCGTGTGGTGTCTTTGTGTGTGAGTACATATGTGAGTGTGTGACTGTTCACGCGTGCACATGTGACCTCTAGCCTACCAGATCATGTGAGGCTTTATTGAAGAGATGTTCTGTGACAGTAGGGTGACCAATTTGTCCTAGTCTTACCAGTCTGTCCCAGTTTTAGCAGCTGGAGAGGATGATCGGTTGAAATTCAAACCTGAGTATACTGGGTATAATTGCATATATACTTCATTGTCTCCACAATGAGTTTGTGTAACTTGTAGGTTACACAAATTGCTGGCTGAAGTTCATCCAGGTCAATTTATGTGCTAATGTTTTAGGGATTGCATGGCTGATAACAGTATTTTTTTTTACTATCAGATCCAGAAAACAATTGAATTTGAATTTGGCAAACGGAGATAAACAGGGAGAAGGAGAAGTAAAAAAGGGATGTAAGGGGAGAGAAAGGAAGAAAGGGAAGGGGAAAAGGCCTCTAAGCCTCACTGGGAAGGTCCTGGTAATGTCACTGAACCAACATGAGCCCAACCACAGGAACCAAGAATCTGCTCTGGAAATCCTGCTTAGTTGTATTTAAGTTTTTTTCCCTCCAGTTACCATTTTCTTCCAAAACTCGGCATGTAAGTGAAGATGGTCTTTAAATCCCAGATGTTGTTTTTCCATCTTCCAGCTGGAGTTGAGGTAATATTGTGATATTCAAACAGAAACAGAAGCTGCATTTTTTGGGTTATTTTTTCTAGCAGCATTACCATAAATTGGACTGCAGTGAGTAATCTTTTAATCAGATGGAAAGAGGCATTCCAAATATGTTTCTAGTCATCTGAGAGTATTTAACAACTTCTTTAAGAAATAAAGTTAAGCGTTGGTGAAAGTGGGGATATTGGTGGTCTGTTTAAGTGAAATACTTTTAAACTTTTTGTTTTAAATAATGTAGGTGTGTTTTATTACAAATAGAATGTACTTAGTATGAAGAATTTATAAAATAGAGATAACCAAAAATAAGACAATAGAAATTATTCATACTCCATCATCCAGCTAACTACAATTTTGTTTCAGCCTTTTAAAAAGTATGTGTATATACCTTTTAAAATGTGTGTGCATATACAAATGACATCACCCCATACATGTGATTTTGTAAGTAGATTTTTAAAGGTTTGCTCTCTTTTGTTTTGAGATTGCTTTGGGTATTGCAGCATTCCTAATACAGGACTAAGACTTTCACCTCAAGATGATAGATCCCCACCCAGGTGCATTGGTGGTGGTTTGGGAAGCTGTGACCAAAACTCCACAAACCTCGCAAATCGAAAGCTCTGAGAAAAGTGTTTTTCTGGCTCTCGGGACTTGCTGATGACTGCGCATTGGCTCTTTTTGCTTCACGTGACCCCTTCTGTCCCCACCAAAGGGAGTTCTGCCTGGGGACCTTTCTAGCGCTCCAGTTGCCTTATGGCCTGGGAGCCCTCAGCATCTTTCTGTCTGCCTGCCTGGAGGAAATTAGGTGGGGACAGTGAACTAGAGCCTGGCCCAGCTGCTCATTCCCCGAGGCAGGTGAGCATGCCCTGGGTGGAAGCCTGCAGCACATTTTTCTAGGAGCTGAGTTGCTCGTTCTTCATCTTTCCCTTATCCCCTAGCACGTGTGTCTTAGGCAGCAGTCCCAACCTTTTTGACACCAGGGACCAGTTTTGTAGAAGATCATTTTTCCATGGACCAGGTGGGGAGGGGGGTGGTTTGGGATGAAACTGTTCTACCTCAGATCACCAGGCATTAGATCCTCAGAAGGAGCACGCGATCTAGATCGCTTGTGTGCCCGGTTCACAATAGGGTTTGTGCTCCTATGAGAAGCTAGTGCCAAGGCTAATCTGACAGGAGGTGGAGCTCAGGCGGAAATGCTCATCGCCAGCCATGCACCTTCTGCTGTGCGGCCCAATCCCTAACAGGGCACAGGCCAGTGCCTCGGGTCTGCAGCCCTGGGGTTGGGGACCCCTCTTCTATGGGACATCATTCTGCCTGTTGTGGGCTGTTTCTCCAGTGGTCCCTTTCTTCCAGGGCAACTTCAGCCTTCTTGAGCTGAATATGACACCAGCCTTTTAAAAGCTTTCCACCTTGTTCTATCCAGGTCTGGCAGTTTGACCCAAGAACTGTGGGGATTGGGGCCCTAAAGGACTCTCCTGTCCCCACCCAGGGGTGGCTTCACCTAGGCTGAGTGGCAGAACTGATGTTTGCTTCTGGGTTCTTGCATTGTGCCCATGACTGCTGAGCCTTGGGCCAACTCTTTTGTCATCTCTGCTCTCAGAATTACTCAACTGAGCTGGTCATGGTTGCTCACACCTGTAATCCCCGCACTTTGGGAGGCTGAGGCAGGAGGATCACTTGAGGCCGGGAGGGCAGCATCGTGAAACCCCATCTCTACAAAAAAACTTAAAAAATAATAAAAGAAAAATTAAGGAATGACTCCTGTAGTTATCAGTAGGCATCATAGTGTAATGATGACTGTGTGGGTTTGGGATCATGTCCCAGTTCTGCCCTCATCAATCACATGACCTTGAGTAAGTTACTTTCTTCTTTGAGAGTCAGTTTTCTCCCAAACTGCAGTGGGTATAGTAATGGTGACTACCATGTGTGGTGATTATAAAGATGCAGTAAGATCGTGCACGTATGCCACTTTGCAAACCATTTGGCTTACTGTCAGGAGTCAATATATTCATTCTTAAGCAAGACATTCTCCACTGTCTAAGACTATTCAACACAAGGCACACTGAAAAGGTCTATACAGAGGGACTTTGGCTGTTCGGAATGTGAAGGGGAAAGTTGCAGGGAATGAGATTTAACCTAAAATAGGGCTTACGGTTATGAATTTTAACTATCCACATTCCCTCTACCCAGTGAAACCATCAACTGACTGCACGTTGCCATGGACTGCAGGAGGGACTTTTTTTTTTTTGAGACAGAGTTTTGGTCTTGTTGCCCAGGCTAGAGTGCAATGACACGATCTCGGCTGACTGCAACCTCCGCCTCCCAGGTTCAAGCAATTCTCCTGCCTCAGCCTCCCGAGTAGCTGGGGTTACAGTCATGCGCCAGCATGCCCAGCTAATTTTGTATTTTTAGTAGAGATGGAGTTTCACCATGTCGGTCAGGCTGGTCTCGAACTCCTGACCTCATGTGATCTGCCCGCCTTGGCCTCCCAAAGTGTTGGGATTACAGGCGTGAGCCACCGCACCTGGGAAGGACTTTTAAGCAGCCCTAGCATTTGAAATGGGACGTGGTCTGCAGAGACGGGGTGCATTTCTTTTCTCTGTCATCTTTGTGCAGTTGCCTTTGTTCACTGGATCAGGTCCCTGAAAATCTTCTTTCCCCTCTTCCCTCCTCATGCCTGCAGCCCAGTTCCGGAACCACCTTGTCTGGCACTGATTGCAGCCAGCAGTGGTGCCACCTCACTGCTCTATTTCTGTGGGTTTTATTTCTATCCTGGGAGCGTGTGTACAAATACCTTCTTCCCCTCCCTCAAGCCCACCCTGGCTCTGAGGTCTCCATCCTCTTCTTATGGTGCTATCGAAACCCAGATGCTCTCCTTTTTCTCACTACCTTTTAGATTCTCCATCCTAATTGTTGGGAACAGCAGTACAAAATGAGGGAAAATGATACAAGTGACCAAAAGGGTGATGAGACTTTCAAAAACCTGAGTTCCAGAAGGCACCAGCGTCAGCAATTCAGAGTGTTTTGGATCTTAAGCCATAGCAACTAGTGGAAACCTTGTGGAAACCTCAGCAGGACCCCCCATGCTACAGTAGGATTGGTGCTGGTTGTGTGTGTGTGTGTGTGTGTGTGTGTGTGTGTGTGTGTGTGTGTACACACTGGTAAATAGGGCTCTTTTATTTCTAGCACTGGTCTATTCCGAAGTTTCCGAATATAGAATTACATATTACAGCAGGGCTGCTTAGCATTCTTGTAACATTCTGAACCCCAAGATTTTCTGTGTTATATTCTCCCAGATCCCTCACTTTCTTTTTCCATGGAAAATGTTCTGAGTTGGGGGATTGCAGTTACCACCACGACACGTCCCAAACATTTCCTGAGCATCTCCTGCAGATGATGATGAGGCTGACCGAATTGTGGACTCTGCTTTGTTCCAAGGCAGTGGACAAACAAATTACACCTTCCACTTACAGAATATTGTACTGATACTTCTTGAAATGCTTGCACGTATATTACTTCATTTTAGCATTGGACAGCTCTTTGAGACAGATGAGTCGTTATTACCTCCCTTTAGCCAATGAAGACAATAAATTTGAGAAGGTTACTCAAAGAATTATTGACTATCAGCTATGTGACATATGGGATATTAAAAGGCACCACACGAACTTCTTGCACTCATGAAACGTGCATTCTAGTGGAAGAGGTAACAATAAATTAATAAATTCAATGTAATGCCAGATAGTGACCAATGCTATGGAGACATGTATTTTAAAAAGCAGGCATTTTAAGAAGATGGAATATGACCAGACACGCTGTGTTAGGTGGGCAGGTCTACCTAACACAGAAGGTCTCTCTGAGGAGATGATATGTGAGCAGAGATGTGACAAGGGGAGAGAGAAAGCTGTGTGGCTGTCTGGGGTAAGAGCATCTGCACTGAGGAAATAGCATGTGCAAAGGTCCTGTGGCAGGAGACTGGCTGGGGCCTTCAGCGTTTCCCTGCTGAGAAGCTGCATCAGTAGAATGAAGCTAGGTCAGAGAGCAAGCCAGGGCCCTACGTGGGTTAGGCTTTGTGCACCACCCTAATGATTGTGAAAAATACCCTGAAAAGGTTTTTGCTCTGAGGAGGAGGACTTTTGAGGGTTACCTACTGGGAATGATATCATCTGGTTTATATTTTAAAAGGATCCTTCTGGCCACTGTGTAGAGAATAGGCTGGAGGGGCAAAGTAGAACGAAAAAGGCATGTTAGGTGGCTGTTGCAGTGGTTTAGATAACAGATGGTGATGGTTTAGTCCACAGTGTTAGTGGTGGAGGTGGTGAGCAGATTGGGTACTGATAGATTTTGAAGACAGGGCAGGCAGGGTTTGCTGGTGTCATGGAGGCAGGTGTCCAAGAAAGGCAGGAGTCAGGGGGACCCTGAGCTCAGAAGAATTCAAGAAGTCATAGTCATGTTGTGGTTGGCTGAAGATAGATCTAGACTTTCTGACTGGCCCAGATCTCCCGGCGATCTTTCCAGGGCCACTTTGAGAAAAGGCAGTGAGTAGCAGGGGTCTCCGTCCGGCTTGGCACGTTCTCCTTGAGGCCATTGTGAGTCCTCTAAGAAGGGACTCTGTCTCTGTCAACCCACCTTTGACCACAGACCTTTACTGATCCTTTCTGATTGATAAACAATAGAGGGAGGAGGTTGTGTGATCTTTTAGTTTATCTCAAGGATATCAAAGGGGAGGGGAAGCCCTAACTGAATATCTAGCTAAATAGGAGATACCATTCAGTCTATTTGTAGTGTATTTTAAAGCCTGTTTCATGTGCAAATGTGAACTACACAGAGGTAATCTGATAATCCCAAAAGGGTAATCTGATAATTCCAAAAGGGTAATCTGATAATCCCAAAAGCTTATTAACATACCTTGTAGATAATAGATATCCAGTTAGTATTTGTTGCATTTGGTGATTTGTGGTTGAATATTGAGTGTTGGTATTTTCTAGAACCTTACATTCAATTCTCTTCCCTATATTTGTGGTTAGAGTCACACTTCACTTTCAGATGGAATGAGTGTCAGTGTTTCCAGTATTTTCCAGATGAGGAAACTGAGATGGGAAAAAGGGAAAAGGTAGGCGTTTAACAAAGGCATTTCATACCACTGGCTTATTGTCGATGAAACAGGCAGAAGAATCTTCCTGCTGTATCCCAGACATTCACTATCGGGATTCACACCCTGTTGTATCATTGAAAAACGCGCAGACTTCAGCTGGATGAGGTGCTCATGCCTGCAATCCCAGCACTTTGAGAGGCCGAGGCCAGAGGGTTGCTTGAGGCCAGGAGTTCGAGACCAGTCTCGGCAACATTGTGAGACCCCATTTCTACAAAAAATATTTTGAAAACTAGCTGGGTATGGTGGCACACACCTCTAGTTCCAGGAGTTCAAGCTTACGTGAGCTGTAATCACATCACTGTGCTCCAGTCTGCTCAACAGAGCAAGACCCTATCTCTAAAAGAAAAGAAAAAGAGAAAGGAAAGAAACAATGAATGAAAATGTGTAGACTTTAATTCACACTGACCTTCTAAGTTTTTCTTAGGCCTTTATTGACATTGTTATGTCACAACAAAATCTGGCCATCTCTGAGAACTTATAAAACTTTAGTGGTTTTAGGCCAGGCGTGGTGGATCACACCTGTCATCCCAGCACTTTGGGAGGCTGAGGCGGGCGGATCACCTGAGGTCAGGAATTCGAGACCAGCCTGACCAATATGGTGAAACCCCATCTCTACTAAAAATACAAAATTAGCCAGGCATGGTGGCGCATGCCTGTAATCACTGCTACTCGGGAGGCTGAGGCAGGAGAGCCACTTGAACCCGGGAGGCAGAGATTGCAGTGAGTCGAGATTGTGTCATTGCGCTCCAGCCTGGGCAACAAGAGTGAAAGTCCATCTCGAAAAAAAAAAAACAAAAACCAAAAAAAAAACTTTAGTGTTTTTCAGAGACATAGTGTTTCCCCAAGTTGTCATTTGAAGTACACACCCCTTCTTCCAACCACATGGGCGTCAGCAACTCCACTGTGATCAAAAGGCAGCCTGTCTGACAGAATATTCCCCAGTCTTCTTCCCTATCGGCATTTTGAGGCAGGGACACACTACAGCAAAATCAGTCCAGACCCTTATATAAAATAACTCTTCCGTCCACCACAGTGGCCAATATTTCCTTTTCCTACCTTGGCCCTGCCTGATCACACACACCAGCTCTGCAGCCAGAGGACCCCTCATGGGTGAAGTGGGCTCCGGGTACCCTGTGAGTTGAGACCACGGTCCCCCAGGAGCATGCAGTGGTGCCTGAGGGTGGTTGGCAGTGGTGATGGCTGTGTTATGTGTCCTTCTCTCTCTGTCTGCGAGTCTGGTTGGGTGGACTTTGTCCTTGGTTCAAAAAGCTCTCAGGGATCAGCTCCCTGTTCTCTTACTCACAGGTCGCTTCTAGTCAAGTTTCTTCTGCTGTAGGATTCACGTTCACTTTCTCCTGTTCTGACTGTCCTCTGTGGCATACACCTTTGATGTATTGATCTCCCAGGTGGCTTCCTAATCCTCAGGGTGCTGCAGAGGTCAGAGGGGCAGTGTGACCACACACCTGGAGGGGCCTGGGGAAGTGCCTTTTGTCAGCCCAGGTTTGAATGACCTGCAGGCTAATTATGTTACTTACGACTTATGTTGCACTGGGCTCCTTAATGCCAACCTCTGGGCGTTTGAAGGTTATAAAAAGAGAAAAATCAAAACTCAGACCATCAGTTGCGCTGATTACTAATTGCTTTGGTGGGAGATTTTGTGGGAAAGACACTAATAGTCAAAGGTGGTTTGAACAATCACCTGTGACTTAACCTCATTCCGACTTTTCTTTTGACTACTTATTGCCAGCACCAGACAGGAAGAGCAAAAGGCAGAGCAAAGCGTCTGCTGCAGGTGAATCAAGATGTAGCATGATCTTGTCCCAAATATGCATAGCCACACAGTCACCTCTCATGGGAGCACAGTCCTGTGTGTTTGCCTATCCACGCTGCATGGCTGATTCCTTTCTTGATATATGCTTCCTGTCTTTTGTAGGGGGAGGTGCTCTTTGGCATCTCCAGACAGACCCCTCTCCACTCCTCTCCTATCTCTTGTCTTCTTTTGCACTATGAGCCATGATGTTTTAGAATTTCCATGCCTCGTTGAGGCTGGAATTTGGTACAGATCCACCACAACCCAGCATCAACCTGGAAACCAATGCAGCTCTCCTTGGAGGCTTGCTGCCCGTATCTACAGCTTTCTTCACTTTTTCCCCAACCTGCGGAAAGGCCTTTTTGTTGATCTCATCAATCTGTGATTTGAGATCTTGAAAGAACCAAGATCTTGTGACTTGGCAGGGGGAGCCACCCGCCATGTAGCCCCACCCTGTGCCCTCCCTGACCCCGTCGCCCCCTGTGCGGACCTGCTGCGCTTCAGGGGAAAACAGCACGTTAAGTGAGCAGTTTAGCTTGGACTGAATCCGGAGGCAAATCAAGTAACTTTATACTGAGATACTCTCTCCATTGTGTTCTCAGGAAGATGAAGTGAATCACCAGAGCAAAGAATGTGCTCTCTGGTGCTACACCAATAATAAAGTACAATGTTTTGAATTAGAGGAGGGAGAGAGAGTAACTGAGAAACCTTTGGCTGGTCACTTTATTGTTCCTTGTGGCTCCCCCTTCCCTTCCCTCAGATATATACTTGGATAAGAATTTCCTTCTCCAGCCCAGTATTTCCTAAACTCAATCCTGCAGTAAAATGACAAGGCCGTGTTAGACATGGAAATTATTGCAGAGCAACAAATCCAAGATTGTTATTTCACCAAAGGCCCCAGGAAGTGGAGATGAAGAACTGTGAGAGCATAAGCCTCCAGCTCAACCCAAATGTGTTTTTCTTGCCCCACTTGTTAATTAGTAAATCAAAACCAAATGAAAAATGCAAATAAGTGCATGCCACAAATCTGTCATACTTGAATGTTTCCCACTTTATTTCTGTCTTTCTGACTTTATCCTGTCCATCATTCTCGTCATCTGTGAGTAAAAGCACCCAAAAGCACCTTGGTAGATTGGCGTCAATTTGGGTCTTATACATAAAACTGCCTGACAAATGACAGCGTTCAGGTAGGGATTATTTAGTTAACACAGAAGTTATGTGATTTATATTTTTTAAGAACAGAAAGATGGGAGTGATAAGGCACTATTTTTCCCACTCTTTTTTAAGTTTCTTACAGGTGTTTTCTGTTTTTGTTTTGTTTTGTTTCTAAATCATACATTCAAATGCTTGAGCCTGGTGAATTTTTTGTTAGCTTGCTTGTTTTTGGTCATTTAGGAAGCATTGCCTATTCAGATAGACATTTACAATCAAATAGGGCTGAACACACCAGCACAGCTGTTGCTCAGAAGGGACCAGGAGGGCTGGTTGCCCCAGAAAAGGAAAGATATTCTCCAAGAACAGTCCTGGGAGAAGCATTTTGTTGTGTTTTTGCAAGGACGTGGGGATCCAAGTTTTGTCTATTAAAGGAAAGGAATGGCCCTGTTCTGTTTGTGTGTTCAGAGCGCACGGCTGTGCTCAGAGATGTTCGTGCACCCTGCGGTGGTATTTTTCCATTCTCTTGTTTAGAACCCCTGGGCATTTAGACACATGTCCTGCACACAGCTCAGCATCTGTGATCACATGGTGGTTTAGAACTGAGGTCTTGGTTCTAAACCAAGGAAAGATTCAAGTGTCTGTCCCTTGCTGCTTCCAGGCCAGGCCAGCCAGCTCTTGAGAAGTGTGGCTCCTTCAGGTCCGGATGGGTGGCTCCCTCATTCAACAGACATATACTGGACACCTGCTATGTGCAGGTACTGTTTCGAGCACTTGGACTGCATGACGCAACAAAACAAAACTCCTTGCCTTCCCTTGTGGGGCATACATTGGAGGGGAGTTTAGCCCTCAGCAGGAGCATGCCTGTTTTCTTTCTCACTGGCTACCGTTTCGGTGTTGTTGAGGTGAAGAGGGACAGCCATGTGCAGATGCCCCCGATTAGGGACATGTTCTGACCACGGCTGCCCAGGGCTCAGGCCAGCCTGGGCCCATCACGCGGACCAGAGGTTGGACGGAACCATGAGAAAAGACTCTCCCCGTGTCCCAGGGCTTGGCACAGTGGTGCTGTGCCGCGAATAATAGGTCATCTGATGCGGTATAATTTAATAGGAATATGAATCCCCAGTAACCCGGGGAACCAAAGCAAGGAATTGGCCTCTCAGTTACTTTTAACTTTCAAAACTTGAACATTTCCTTAAACCAAATAGCCCCATCGTCATGGTCAGAAGTCCACTGTGGAGAAAGGCAGGATTTAGTGTTTATTTAAGCTGCCACCCCATGAGAGAAACTGTTGCCCAGTGGAGTTTGACTCTCAATTTTTCAAGGAATGATTTTCCATTTTGTGGATTTTTTATGTATGTCTTCTCTCTCTCTCTGTCTTTCCTTCCTTCCTTCCCTACCTCCCTCCAGAAATGTTGATGGGAGCAGGAAAATTTATTGGCCAGGTAAGGGTGTATATGAAGAAAAACCTTGATGGTAGGGATCCTGATAAGTAAGGCTCTTAAAAAGACTGCAGTTAGCCAGGCACAGTGGCTCACACCTGTAACCCCAGCACTTTGGGAGGCTGAGTCAGGAGGGTTGCTTGAGGCTGGGAGTTCAAGACCAGCCTAGGCAATGTAGTGGGACCCCATCTTTACAAAAAAATAAAAAACATTAGCTATGCATGGCAGTGTTTGCCTGTAGTCCTAGCTACTCAGGAGGCCAAGGCAGGAGGATTGCTTGGGCCCAGGAGGTCGAGGCTGCAGTGATCTGTGATTGCACCACTGCACTCCAGCCTCGGCAACAGAGGGAGACACTGTCTCAAATAAAAATGCACCATCTGGTGCCATGTAGCACTGTTGGGCGTCTGCAGAGCATTTTGGTCACAGGGTCTTCTTTGCCTCCCGCCTCTTCATATGTAGATGTTACTACGCCACAAGCAGAGGGAGGTTGGTCACCAAATCCGGAAACATGGGCAAACCCACAATAAATGGGTTATTGATACTACATTCCAGTATACAGTAAGATACTCTTGTCTTTGTTTCCAGATTTTATGGCCACTCTGTAGAAGCTTCAAGGGACTGAAAATAAGTCATTTGATGCAGCTAAAAAGAGACATTGCTGCCTTTTGATCTCACATCTTCAGCCTGACGGTCCTGTGTTCTCTTCATATCAGACTCCTGACTTTCAGAAAAGAGCCAATCACCATTTGACTAGGGCTCATCACTTTTCAACTTTTTCAGGATTTCTTTTGGCAAGAGCACCCCCCCTCTCTCTCATGTGAGCTCACTCTCTCCTCTCTCTCATATCCGTGCTCCTCTTCCTACAGTGCTGACCTCTGAGGTATCCTTTTTTCTTTTGACTCTCATCAGTCTACAACCTCTGTCTATTTCTCCTTCTCTTAGTCTCTCTGTGACTCCCCTGGATTAAACCTTGTTTCTGCTCAGACTCAGCAAATATTCATTGTGAGCCTACTATGTGCCAGGTGCTGTGCTGGGCTTATCACTCAGTATTCACTGATTTCCCCAGCCTCTTTCTGCTCAGAGGTCCTACATAGCCTTGGGGTGAGGGTGTTTAGCTAATCCCCTTGTGTTTGGGGTGGGCCGTAAATGAGCTCTGATGGACCATCCTCAGCCCCTCCAGAATGACCTCTGAGGAATCAATGGCTGAGAAGGAGAGATGGAGAGTGTATTAGTCCATTTTCAAATTGCTGTGAAGAAATACCCAAGGCTGGATAATTTACAAAGAAAAAGAGGTTTAATGGACTCACAGTTCCACATGACTGGGGAGGTCTCACAATCATGATGGAAGACAGAGGTACACCTTATATGGCGGCAATCAAGAAAGAGCATGTGCAGGGGAAATGCCCTTTATGAAATCATCAGATCTCATGAGACTTATTCACTATCACAAGAACAGCACGGGAAAACCCACCCCCACGATTCAACTGTCTCCCACCAGGTACCTCCCACAACACATGGGGATTATGGGAGCTACAGTTCAAGATGAGATTTGGGTGGGGACACAGCCAAACCTTATCAAAGAGGAAGAGCAAAAGAGAATGGAAGAGGTATATGCCCCAAAGAACTGAAAACACGTACTCACATACAAGTACATGCATGTTCATAGAAGCACTATTCACAATAGCCAAAAGGTGGAAAGAGTCCAAATGTCCATCGATGGATGAATGGATAAACAAAATGTGGCATGTATCCATACAATGGAATGTCATTCAGCCATAAATAAGGATGGAGTGCAGACACACGCTACAACATGGATGCACCTTGAAAACATGATGCTAAATGAAGCCAGTCACAAAGGATCACATGTTGTGTGATTGTTTTCATGTGAAATATCCAAAATAGGCAGATCCAGAGAGGCAGAACACAGAATGATGGTTGTTACCAAGGCCGCGGGGGAGGAGGAAATGGGGAGCTTTTGCTTCATGGGCTTTGTGTAGAGGCGATGAAAATGTTTTGGAATCATTTAGAGGTAGTGGATGCACAACATTATGCATGTACTAAAACGCCACTGAATTGTCCACTTCAAAATGGTGAATTTTATGTTATGTAAATTTTACCTCAATTGAAAAGAATGAAAGATAAAGGAAGGAATGTGTTAGGGGTCTATTGCTTTGAATTAAGGATGCAATTTAGAAATCTGGCCTGACTTTCCTATGCATGGTGACCTTGTGATGTGGCTTGAGTATAATTGAAGTAATTTGAGTAGATTAATTTCCTTCCTTGGCTTCTTAAAATTTAACGTGCTTGAAGTTTGCATCCTGAATTTAGAATGCAAAGCAGTATGTGGATGAGTATTCTGGGCCAATAGTGCTGCTGCTTAAAACAACAAACCCAGACAGATGTGTTCAGCAGGTTCTCCAGCTTAGCTGTTTGCATCTTGGAGAACTGTTCCTGGGTCCTGGGGAAAGACCACTGGGGGTGGGGTCAGAAGCCTGAGTTCTGTTCTGCCTCCTTATGCCCATGGAGGATACTGCAGAGCTCAGGAAAGAGCACGAAGCAGGACCCAGCCCTGGCTCACACGTGCATTCAACACACATTCTTGGGCACCATGTACTAAGCCTTCTATGGGATATATGAAGGTGAACATGACATGGACCCTGCCTTTGAGAGGCTTGCAGCCCAGCAGGTTAAGGTAGACACGCAAACAGCTGATCGTTTTGGTATAAGGTAGGGGTTTGATGCTGAAGATCTTCATGGGACCTTATAGAGGTCTAGAGTTGAGGGTACTAAAACTACCTGGGGGTGAGGTTTGGTGGAAGAAGGCAACTAAGGAAAGCTTCCTGGATTCAATCTTAAAGGAAGATTTAAAATATTGCTGAATTACTGCAATAGACCGAATGTTTGTTTCCACGCCCCTGCAAATTCATATCTTGAAACCTAACCCCCAAGGTGATGGTATTAGGAGGTGGGGCCTTTGGGAGGTGATTAAGCCCTCATGAATGAGATTAGTGCCCTTATTAAAGAGACCCCAGAGAGCTGCCTCACTGCTTCCACCATGTGAGGGCACAGCGAGAAGACAGCCATCTATGAACCAGGGAAGAGGCCCTCATCAGCACCTTGGTCTTAGACTTCCAGCCCCTAGAACTGTGAGAAATACATTTGTGTTGTTTGTGAGCCACCTAGTCTATATTTTGTTACAGCAGCCCAAATGGACTAAGACAATTACCCATTGCGTATTGCAAGTAGGTGGTTAGAGGAGCAGCAAAACAGGAACTGTTAAAACTGAGTGAAAACATGCTTACGAAGAGTTTGTTTGTTATTTTGCACCAAAGCATTAATAATTAGATATAAGAACACTGATGTACCTACCCTTGTTTTATGGCTTTAATTATCTAGGATGACGTAGGGGCACCAAGCCTTTTCAAAATTTGGGTTCTGTAACAGTCTCAATCCAGGAAGTAAGAGAAGGAAAGCTCACTTCCAGGGCAAGTATATTGTATGAGGAAGGCGAAGTCACGAGATCCTGGGCAGTGTGGTGGGACAAATAGAGCAATTTAAGACCTTCAAAGGTAGAGTTTAAGGTGGAAAAGGGTGAGGGACGAGGGTGGGAGGTGGCTGTGGGGTACAGGCTGAAGGGCTCTTGGCAGGCCTGTTACAAGTCAGACTTGTGGCCCTGGTACTAGCTGCAGTGTGGAGAGAGTGGATGGACATGGGGCAAAATGCGAGGCAGTGGGACTGAGGCTCTGCATGAGGGCAGTGGTAGTGAAGGGAGTGGGACCCACTGGGTTTGAGACACTTCTAGAATGATGCTGTCCAGTAGAACTCTCTGAGATGATGGAAGCATCCAACGGTGTGCTCTCCAATACAGGAGCCACCAGACACTTGTGACTCTTGAACACTTTCAACGTGACTGATGTGACAGGAACCAAATTTTACATTTTAATTTATTTAAATTTAAATAGCTCCCCGTGCCTGTAGCTTCTATATTGGACAGTATAGTTCTAGAAAGTAAAAGCAACAAGAGTTGATGATTAATTGGGCAATTTAGGGTGGCAGGGTAGACAGAGCTAGAGACAGAGGGGCAGGTTAATTGTAGAGGGGGGAAAGATGAGTACCACTGTGTGCATGTTGGCTCCAAGTGCGAGAGACATCTGGGGGAAGAAGTATGCCCAGCAGTAAGAAACGCAAGCCTCTTTGGAGAACGCTGGGCTGGAGATAGAAATTTGAGAGCTTTCACTGTTAACTATGATAGGTGAGATCATAAAACTGAGTAGCACAGGGAAGCCACTTCACTGCTTTTGGCCTCAGATTCCTGTTGATTTGATGGTGGTCATAATATTTGCTCTGCCTACCTTCTGGGACTGTTCTGAAAAATTCAGATGGGATTACGTGCATGAAAATGCTTTGTAAACTCTTCAGACATTAGGCAGAGTTTATAACGTCTTTAGGAGTGAGAGGAATGTGTCCCACATGTTATTTTCCAAACATGAAAGATAAAGACTTCAAATTCTGGAAGTATTGCAGAGTAGATCATCTGCAGGGCCTCCTGCTAAAAAACGACAAGATCCAGGATAAACAAAAGCAAACTTGCCTAAAGTATGAGTGTCACGGGCTCAGGGACAGCTTTCAGGACTCCCCTGTGGGAGTTTCCATGAGCAAACAAACATAAAAGTTGGGTTTCTGTGAATGCAAAGACCAACACTAGCGCTGATCCTGAGACCAGCTTGGGGTCTGGGACAGGGTAGTGGGGAGCTGTCCCTGAGGTTCCCACATTAAGCCGGGACTGTCAAAGGGAGAGAAAGTGGTTCTGGCTGGTGGTGTTCCTCACAAGAACAAATGCTTTTTTTTTTTTTTTTTTTTAGGAAAAAAAAGTAACCCAATTTAAATATTCAGGATGAATTTCAATTAAAAACTACCAAAAAATCAAAAATCTTCAAACACACAAGGAAATACACCACCAAAATGTGTATCATCAGAGTGAATCATCAGAGTGACGGGAGAGTAATTTCAGTCCCCCAAGAATTTCACATATTGGAGAACAGGCACCAAGTTAGAAAATGCAAGACAATAATATAGAAATACAGAAAGAATGATAGTATAATAAATAATAGTAAATATATGACAATTTACCATTGAAAATGACAGCACAAACCAAACAAAAAGGGAGCAATTTGAATTTTTTTTTTTTAAAATCATTGAGGTGGAAAAACTAGGGTGTGGTGACATGCACCTGGTGACATGTAGTCCTAGCTACTTGGGAGGCTGAGGTAGGATCACTTGAGCCCAGGAGTTCGAGACCAGCCTGGGCAAAATAGCGAGGTGCCAACCCAAAAAAAATAAGAACAAATAAACAAAACTCACTAATAGATTATTTAAACTGCACATTAAACAGTGAAGGAGAGAACTGGTAAATGTGTAAATAGAAGATATTACCTAAATCTAGTCCAGAGATCGGGAGATAAATGGTGTAAAATCAGTAGCTAAGAGATGTGGACATTAGAAAGTCTAATATATACCTAATTGTCATTTTTGAAGGAAACTCTAAAACAAATGGCAGAGAGGCCATAATTGATGAGTGACTGGCTGAGAATTTTCCAGGACTGATGGGAGCTAGGAACCCACAGACAGATGAACTACGACGGCATCTGAGCCGGGCAGAATGAATAAAAAGAAACACACAAGTAGGCACAAAACACTGTAGCAAATGCAGTGTACCAGAAGACAATGGCATTGTCAATGGGACCACAGAACCCAGATCACCCGGGAAGGAATGCTTTGTTTGTTTGTTTGTTTTTGAGACGGAGTCTTGCTCTGTCACCCAGGCTGGAGTGCAGTGGCACCATCTCGGCTCACTGCCAGCTCCGCCTCCCGGGTTCACGCCATTCTCCTGCCTCAGCCTCCCGAGTAGCTGGGACTACAGACACCCGCCACCAGGCCCGGCTAATTTTTTGTATTTTTAGTAGAGATGGGGTTAGCCAGGATGGTCTCGATCTCCTGACCTTGTGATCCGCCCAAAGTGCTGAGATTAGAGGCGTGAGCCACCGTGCCCGGCCAGGAATGCTGAGTCTGAAGGAATGAATACAGGCTGAGAGTTGTTCTTAGTCAAGTGGAGGATATTGTGCCTGTTGTTCCTCTGCAGTGGAAATCAGGTGTGGGAGGATCTTTTGTTCTCTCTTTAAGCTGGCCTATCTGTGTTTTGACTGGAGATGTAGCAGTTTTTCTCAAGTGTGAAAAAAGGCATGTTGTGTAGATTGATTTTTACTAAATGTGGTCTGATTGCTTCTTTAAGGCAGCCCTTGTAAGGGGGCAAAAATGCGGTTATTTGACATTAATGGAACTCTATCAAGGCTGTGATCATTCATTTGAAATCTTTCTTCCCAACGCATGTTTATTGACTGAAGTGCCTGAGTGTGCTCTCATAGAAGCCAAGGTCCACTACTAATTTCCATAATGAGACATGTATAGTGGTAGCTACTGAGCATCTCCCCAATTTTTTTTTTTCTTTTTTTGAGATGGAGTCTTGCTCTGTCACCCAGGCTGGAGTGCAGTGGCGTGATCTCGGCTCCCTGCAACCTCTGCCTCCCGGGTTCAAGCTATTCTCCTGCCTCAGCCTCGCGAGTAGCCGGGACTACAGGCATGTGCCACCAAGCCCTTCTGACTAACTTTTGTATTTTTAATAGAGGCAAGGTTTCCCCGTGTTGGCCAGGCCGGTCTCAAACTCCTGACCTCAGGTGATCTGCCCACGGCCTCCCAAAGTGCTGGAATTACCCGTGTGAGCCACTGCGCCCGGCCTATCTCCCCAGTTTAAAGTGAAATTAATACCTATATTTGGGTATGAAAATGGTTTTAACATGATTTTTTTTTTAAAAAAAAATGACTATTAACCCTTTGTGCTAATAATATGTAGGTGCCTAGTGTCCTAAAGCTCTTTACGATACATGTACTGGATATCTTCTTAAAAAGTCATTTGGAATAAAAGGGTAGCCCCAGAGAGTTTTATTGTGGCAACGGAGGATTTCTGGATCTGGATTTGGGTGGTGGTAACATGGATCTATACATGTGATAAGGGGTCATAGAATAATACACATACGTACTCAAACAGTGCTTGTGAAAACTGGTGAAATCAGAGTGGGTGTGGTCTAGTAAATGTATTGAGCCAATGTCAGTTTCCTGGTTTTGATCTTGTACTTCAGTTATGTAAAATGTTACTATGGGGGGAAGCTGGGTGAAGGGTGCATGGGGCTTCTCTACTGTTTTTTCAACTACTTGTGGGACTTTAATTATTTACAACACAAAATAAAGTTTAAAAATGTCATTTGGAGCATGGCAACCAGAAAAAATAGATTATTCTTGATATTTGTGATTCTTATAGAATATGAATACAAATACTTAGAAATATTTGATGAACCCTGGAGGGTAAAGTCTTTTGTTTCACCTTGGTCAAAAGTGAATTGGAAAGTTTAGCTCAGTCTTTGTATTACAATTCAAGGTTATATGCTTGCAACATGAAAGTCAAAAGGCCGCTGTCGTTACAACCCTTGGAAGTCCAGCCAGAAATGTCCTTGTTGCCTAAAATTAAATAAGCTTGTGCCATAGAATGAAAAATTGCTTACATTAGTCAATGGAATGACCATGTTTCAAAAAAAATTTCAAGTTTGGTGTGTAACTGTAAATGGAAACGTGAAATATTTGGAAAATGTAGGATTTATTGGGAATTATTGTAATTGCCTTAACTAATCTAGACTAAATTAACCAGAGAGTAAGTCCAGTTAGTGAGAGAATAATGAATATGTGATTACTTTTAAAGTAAATATGTTAAATCGATTGCTCTGTTCTTTTTCCTCTCTGTTGTTCCCCTTTTTATTTTATCTTTTGTGTTTGTAGTTTGAGATAGGCAGTGTCTTTGTTTTTCTCTGGACAATTTTAATTGAAATAATTCAGACTTAGATACCATTCAGAAAAGATATATATTAAAATATCTTTATTAGCATCAAACAAAGCAGTAGTGAGAAAAAAAGAAAAATCTTTAGTAAGATCAAGGAAAAGTGAACGTACAAATTCGGATGAAAAAGGAGAAACAACCATAGATAGAGCAGAGATGAAATAATGAGAGGATTCTATGAAAAATGTTATGGTAATAGTTCGCTGCAACCTGGATGGGGTTGGAGACCATTATTCTAAGTGAAGTGACTCAGGAATGGAAAACCAAATATTGTATGTTCTCACTTATAAGTGGGAGCTAAGCTATGAGGATGCAAAGTCAAAGAATGACACAATGGACTTTGAGGACTCGGGGGAAGACTGAGGGGGGCTTAGGCATAAAAGACCACATATTGGGTTCAGTGTACACTGCTTGGGCGATGGGTGCACCAAAATCTCCGAACCCACCACTAAAAAACTTACCCATATAACCAAACACGACTTGTTCCCCCAAAAGTATTGAAATAAAATAAAATAAAATTTAAAACAAATTATGGCAATAAACTTGAAAAATTAAAAATGGACAGACCTCTAGAAAACAGACTTAAAAAGAAATAGGTTCAATATTTCTATGTTTAAAGGAAAATGAGTAATTTAAAATGTCCCCCAAAAGAAAACACCAGAATCAAATGACTCTACAGATAAGTCTGCCAGATTTTCAGGAAGTATATTACTTCTTGAAAAGAAGGAGCTGAAAGGCTCCCCAGCTTATTCCAAGAGAAAGTGCAGTAGTTCCCCCTTATCCACGGTTTCCGTATCCACAGTTTCGGTTTCCACAGTTTGCTCTTGAGGTCTGAAAACAGTTGAGTATAGTATAGTAAGATATTTTGAAAAAGAGAGAGAGACCATCTTCATATAACTTTTATTATAGTATATTGTTGTATTTGTTTTATTATCATTAATCTTACTATGCCTAATTTATAAATTTAAATTTATTTTCCTAGGTATGCACGTATAGGAAGAAACATAGTGCATATAGGGTTGGCACTATTCACGGTTTCAGGCATCCATTGGGGCCCTTGGAAGGTATCCCCCTCGGATAAGAGGGGAAAATTGTATAACTTGAAACCACACAATGCCATAGGAAATGAGAACATCGCCAGTCTCACTTACGAACTCACACATAAAAATTCCAAATAGTAAATATATGAAAGCAACCCTCTAAACTTTCTCATTAGGTCCAATGCTTTGCAATGTGTCTCTTCTTTTCCTATTATTTAATCTTAATAGTACCGAACTGGACTCCAACATCAGACTGAAAGTCAGAGTCCTTGCCGCTCTCCTGATTTTAAAGGCAGTGATGTGAATGTATCACCATTAAGAATGTCCTTAGCTGGCTGGGCGCGGTGGCTCACGCCTGTAATCCCAGCACTTTGGGAGGCCGAGGCGGGTGGATCACGAGGTCAGGAGATCGAGACCATCCTGGCTAATACGGTGAAACCTCGTCTCTACTAAAAATACAAAAAATTAGCCTGGCGTGGTGGCAGGCGCCTGGAGTCCCAGCTACTCGGGAGGCTGAGGCAGGAGAATGGCGTCAACCCGGGAGGTGGAGTTTGCAGTGAGCCGAGATCGCGCCACTGCACTCCAGCCTGGGTGACAGAGCGAGACTCTGTCTCAAAAAAAAAAAAAAAAAAAAAGACTGTCCTTAGCTGTAGGGATCTTTTTAATATACACTCATTATCAGGTTAATGGAGTTCTTTCTATGCCTGGTTTGCTAGTTTAAAAGAGACTTAAGAGGTAGAATAATCAAGTGTCATGAGTGAACACTGGCTCCTGATTTCAACACACAAAATTTAGACAGTTTTTTAGATATTTGAGGAAATCTGATCACTTTAACAATTTTATTATTATTTTACAGAGACAGGGTCTCACTCTGTTGCCCAGGCTGGAGCGCAGTGGTGTAATCATAGCTCATTGCAGCCTCACACTCCTGGGCTCAAGCAGTCCTCCTGCCTTGGCCTCCCAAGGGGCCGGGACTACAGGCAATGCCACTGCACCTGGCTGCTTTAACAGTTTTTAAGTGTACGGTTCAGTGGCATTAAGGACATTCACATTGATTGTGCCACTATCACCACTTCCTCTCCAGAACTTTTTCTTCTTCCCAAGCTGACTATTTGGGTACTTACTAAACCTGAACTTCCCATTCCCCTCTCCCATAGCCCCTGGTATACCATTCTCCTTTCTATCTCTATGGATTTGACTAGGCTTGCTACCTCATATAAGTGGAATTATACAGTATTTGTCCTTTTGTGGGTGGCACATTTCACTTCACACAATGTCCTCGGGGTTCATGTGGTACCATGTGTCAGAATTTCCTTCCGTTTTAAGGTTGAAGAGTATTCCATCATAGGTCTGTACCACATTGTGTTTACCCATTCATCCGTCAGTGGACATGTGGGTTGCTTCCAGCTTTTGGCTATTGTGAATAATGCTGCCATGAACATGAGTGTACAAATATCCGTTCAAGGCCCTGCTTTTAATGCTTTTGCATATATATCCAGAAAGATAATTGCTGGATCAATGCTAATTTTATGTTTGTTTGAGGAATTGCCACACTATTTGCTACAGTGCTGCACCATTTTGCATTCCCATCAGCAAAGCACAAGGGTTCTAGTTTCTCTAAATCTTTATCAACACTTGTCAGAAAATGCCCATACTTTTAATACATCTCTATGAAGTAGGGCTGAAGAAGGAGAGGAGTTACTGGTCACCATTGCCTGCACAGCGGCCATGCCCACCTATGATACATGAGCCATTCACCCGCTGACAGGCAGACGACCCTCCACACAGGCTGCCTTGCTCTTAACCATAACCAGGCCTACATTTTCCATGTGAGCCTGCCTGTACAACTTCATCATGTCTCTAAAAAGGAAAGGAAAGGAGGAGAACCGAACAGTGTATGATTTAGTGATACACACATGCAGTAGAATTGTTAGGTTTTAAAGGGCAGGGGAGTGATAAACATTATTCCTGATGTGAGGTACCTTTGGAGAGAAGCAGTTGAAGAGGATCAGGAAAGAATACAACAGTCTCAGTCACTTTCTGGTTTTCAGGTTGGGTGATGGTTTCCTTGGTGCTTTACTATTATGCTTCATTACCTCCGTAAATTGCATACATCCTTTTGTATGTATAATTACATAATTTACATTTTAAATCTTAAACCAGTGACTTTTATTCCTTAAGGCTTTTGTTCCTATGTGTTGGCCAAAGGTCTAGGACAGGTGAGAAATTTCCACTGGGATGGTCTGAGGCAGAAAGGAGAGAAGGAAGTGAGTTTTATAAAGCTTCGTTTGTTCAGTATGTCTTCCCTATTTTATTTAGTATTAAAAAGACTTTTAGAAATGCAGTGGTAGAGTTAGAGCATGCAGTTTGTTGTTTTGTTTTTATTGTCCTTAACAATGGCAAGCAGAAGAAGCAGATAGCCTTGTGTAAGGTCATTATCATTTCAAAAACTGTCTTGACTGGTCCTTGAAATTTAAAAATTCTAGGAATTATTGCCTCAGAGAACACAGCGCCGCATTCAGGAGCCAGCCACCAAGGCTGATGCTCAGTGAGATTTTGCTTACTGGCCTTTCACAGAATGCCTCACTCGAATTGAAAAAGCTAATTTAGAGGGAGCAGCCGTCAGTCCTATCTGTAGACTCGTGAATAAATTTGAATTACTCAGCAAAGACATACTCCAAGCTCCGAGGACCTGGATTCTCAAATAACAGCCAATGATTATCACAGCTAACATTGATTGGGTATTGACTCCGTGGCTTTGGCTATTTTGTATAGATTGTGTCACCTAATCTTTAGAAATGTTATTATTTCAATTTACCTGATACTGAAACTTTATTATTTAACTCAGCATCATATAGGTAAGAAAAAAGCTAGAATTCAACACCAGCGTCTCAGTTTGACATGTCACCAACACTCTTAACTACGACTTAATTGTGACTGCATCTGGCCCCATCATCAGTAAGCCAAATGCTAATGGGTATAAAGTAGGTACTGAGGGCTGAATTTGGAACTCAGCCCTCTCCCTTTCTCTCCCATTCATATTTCTTGAACTGTCTGGCATTTGAGGAGTCTTGACTCATATAGCTTGAATTGCTGCGCTCATTGGAAACATTACTGTTTTACCATTGTGGCGTTCAGGTGCACATACAGGCAGTAACCTAATTGTATTTATTTCTTATATCCCTATGAGACATTAGCAAACAAACTGTGTACATTCAATCGCAGGCAAAAGAGTGGGGGGAACGGAGGAGTTCTGAGCAAACTTCAGTGATCAGTGGCTGAGGTATGATGAGGAGAGTGAGGAAGGTGGTACAGCTTTGAGGTAAAAGGCACAGGAGCAGCTTAGAAGACCAGACGGTAATGGGATGGGCGTGAGAGTTTAAAAGGTTGTGGGTGGCAATCAGAGGCTCGTGGATGACACTAAGGAAGCCGTGCATCTTTTCTAAGAAGGATAAAGGAAAAGAAAGTTCAGAGTACTTCATGATATTGTTGTTTTGGTAGAGGAAAAATTGGAAAATCCACATATGAGGCAATGGGTTCTATTTTACATTGTAATAAAAGGAATGCTTTGAACTGTGCTTCTGTTTTCTCATTTTTAGATTTTTTATCTCCTCACATCTTCAAATCTGTGAGCATTTGCCAAGATTCTTCCTTAGTCGTACATATGGGCTCCCAGCATTGCACAACACTTATCCTTAAAAGTTACATGCAATTTATCCCCTTCCTGGCATGGTCAGACTTCCCTTTTCTCTCCTCCCTCCTCTTTTCCTCCCATCCCCCTTTCCCTTGTTGTGTTAGTTGCCTATTACCGTGTGACAAATCCCCCAAAACATAGTGGTTTAAAACAACAACGAGTTACCATCTCTCACAGTCTTGTGGAATGACCAGGTTCAACTAGGTGGTTCTTTCAAGGCCTCTTGTGCAGCTGCAACCAGGTGGTGGCTGGGGCTGAGTCATGCAAAGGACATCCAAGATGGCATCTTCATAACACTTCTGGTGCCTCAGCTGAGGTGCTTGGGGACAGGCTGGACAGTTTGTGTGTTCTGTCTCTCTCTTCTCCCACCCACCCCCATCTCTGTTCTCCTCTCCCACCCCTCTGTGTAGCTTCTCTACATGGCTAGCTTGGGCTTCCTCACAACATGGAAGTTTCAGGGTAGTCACACTTCTTAGATGACAGCTGTCTTTCCTCAGACAAGCATTCCAAGAAGTCTAAGTGGAAGGAAGTTCAAAGCTTATGACCCAGCCTTGGAAGTCACTCAGCACCACTGTTGAAGACTTTCGTTCTGTTGGTCCAAAACAGGTCATACAGCCAGCCACAGAGCCAGCTCAGAGCCACCCGAAGGGAGCAGACCACCCACGGGCATAGATGCTGGGAGATGTGGTTTATTGGGAATGGCATACCTCTCAGAAGACCAGCTACCACATTTCTCCTTTGTTAAAAATGTCTGTTTCTCTGCTCCTTATAACTGAAATATCTTAAAGTTACTGTCTTATGTCTTATTTCTTATATTTTTTCTAAGGAAGTTTATTGAAAGACTTCTTTGAAGAATTCTTACACATGCTCTCCAGCGAATCTTAAAATATTATTTTCATTTAGTAATATTACAATTAGGCCTCCAAAAAGCTCTATAGAGAAAAGCTGTGTGACTGTTTTTTAGAAAGTCTCTTTGGAAAATCAGATTTGATTCACTTTTTAACCAACGATGATAACATATCAAACTTAAAAGGCAGATCGGTTTTAGGGAAAAGTGATACACCGTCCTGTGTGGGTGTCCTTGAGTGAACTTCCCAACAATATTGCTTTTCATGCGTAGCCACTAATTAGAAAACCTGCTCTCTTGTTGGGGCTAAACTGTGGTTTACTTTTCTGGTTGGACTTCTTCTTGCTTATATTCAAGCTTTTACAGAAGCCAAAGCTTATTCTTTTTTAACCCTCAAAATAAAAAAAAAAAAGAACTCGAATCTAAAAAATGTGTTGTGTAATTACATGGCAGTTTCAGAAATTCTTTTTAAAAAATCTTGTACCTATAGATGGCTTAACTTAGCTTCTGCAAATGCCATTGAGGACTTAGATTCTTCTGGGGAGTTAGCTCTTTTTTTTCTTTTCTTTTCTTTCTTTTTTTTTTTTTTAAGAAGCTAAATCTCCAAAGCTTTTCTCTGGTAATTATGAAAAACAACATGTGTAAGAGAAAGTGGGAAGTTGGAGGTGGCTAATAATTTGATATTTTTTCTACCCACAAACCTTGGGAAAACTCTGCTATAAGGATTAATTTGCTCATGAGATTTCACTTTGGTTGCCATTAAGGAAAAACGAACAGGAACAGCAAGGCAGAAGTGTTTCTTGACTCTGGGGAAAAGAGTCAAGGGTTTATGGTGGGAAACAGAGCACTCCTTTTTTCCTTTTACAGCAATTATAAGTGAGGCATCTGAAGTTTGATATCACTTTTCTCACACAGGACTTTGTATAGACACCTAAAATCTGACTGAAAAATCATCAGTAATTGCAATTTCTCATTTGTCTTCATGCGGGAAAAAGATTTTATTTTAAAAACGTATTTTTTCTAGCTTCATTGTGGTGTAATTGACAAATATTGTATGTATTTAAGGGGTACAACGTGATTTGATATACTAATACATATACATTATGACATGATTACCACTATCAAGCTAATTAATGTGTTTATCACCTCACAGAGACACGGCTTTATTTTTTTTGTGGTGAGATTGTCCCAGTTCCTGGTAACCTCCATTCTATTTTCTGCTTCTGTGAGTTCCACTTTTTTAGATTCTGCATATGAGTGAGGTCGTGCAGTGATTGTCTTTCTATGCTTTGCTTATTTCACTTCACATAACATCCTCCAGGTTCATCCATGTTGCAAGTGGCAGAAGCTCTCCCTTTTTTAAGACCAAATACAAATGCATTTATGCACATACCACGTTTTCTTCATTCATCTTTCAGTGCACAATAGGTTGATTCCATATTAAAAAACCTTTTAGATTCTATCCTTTCCCCCCAGTTTTTTTTTTTTTTCAATGTAAACCATGAGAAAATAGCAGTGGCTCTGCTCTGTTGGTGATTTCCTTCCACATCTTTGTGGCATCTACATGCAGATTAAATGGGGGTTCCAGCAACTTCCCAGTGTGGAGAGTCCCCCACTGCTCAGAGTCGTGGAGCCTTCAGGTTCTACCAGTAGGAGGAAGGCATAAATATTTCCACTGAACAGGCAAAATGTGAAGACCCTTTACACTTCAGGCCCAGGCAAAATGCTTTGCCCACCCCCCTTCCCCACCCGCAGCCATCCCCACCAATGTTCAGCTCAGGGCTGCCCTTGGTTATGTCAACTGCTGATGGTGACACGTGAACCAGCCTGAGGAGGGAAGAGTAGCCGGGAGGAGAGGGGGCCAGGAGGACATAACGGGGCCAGGATGGGCGGACGGGTTCTTCTTCATTGCTTCATTAATTCTCACACCTTTTTCTGTGAAGTCATACTCTTCCCATTTTTGCAGATGAGAAAACTTTAACGCAAGAGTTTTCATAACTTGCTCTCATGCAAATTCATTCAAATAAGTATATAAGCAGAAGTATTTAAACTAAATAAAATCTAAGAATTTTGCTTCATCTTGGGTAACATGAAGGATTTTCATCTCCTCCTCATGGGCCAGCCAGTGGTCTGTTCACTACCCGATCCCCGTAGTAAGCCGTGGGTAATTGGTAATCCACCTATGAAGTCAAACGGGGAAACTGGTGAGGTAAGCCCGTGGCACTTAGTCAAGTAACAATAGTTGTCACTCTCTCTTGTTTAATCTTATAGTGGAGTACGACAAGGAGTTCTCCCCTCGTCAGCGACACCACAAAGAGTTCAAGTTCAACTTATCCCAGATTCCTGAGGGTGAGGTGGTGACGGCTGCAGAATTCCGCATCTACAAGGACTGTGTTATGGGGAGTTTTAAAAACCAAACTTTTCTTATCAGCATTTATCAAGTCTTACAGGAGCATCAGCACAGGTATGAAGGCTCGAGAAAGCCCCAAAGGTGGGGCTGGCCCCTGTTTCCCACCTTTTGTCATGACAATAACCCCAGCTATGTCTGTGCAGGGTGACCTGGAGTTCAGGGGCAGCATGTGAGTACGATGAGGTGGGTGTTGTAAATGGGAGTGTTTAGCTGGTGAGATCTTTTGCTATTTGATTTTCCAAATAGCTATCTTTTCCTAAGAAAGCTAGTGAATGTATTTATTATAAGCATCTTTTGTGATCAGATAACTCCATAATTTATTAGGGTTAAAATGTTCCCACTATTGATTAGTCCTCATTTTGAATGATAGGTGAGAGTGGCTAAAATAAATTCATACATTAAAAGTATATGATGCTTGTAAGTGATAATAATTCCAGTGAATACAAGGCAGTGTATTTGTGCACATAAGATACACATACACACATGTATCTTTGAGTAAGCTTGTGTGTGATGTATTTTTTTTTTTTATCACTTGGATACAAGGGAGCAGTAGACTTTTTCCATGTCTGTATTACTCTCGTTTCCTAAAACAAGGCCAGACCATTTTACAAAAGAACTGCAGTGAAGCATGTGCATGGAGCTGCCTAGCAATACAGAAAAACTTCCATGGAACAATTGCTGGAGGACTGGAAGGGCTGAGGGATGAAGTTTTATAGTCGTTAGTACAGAAGAAGCCAATACACAGAAGCCAATGACCTCGAATTTTGCTTAGTATTTAGGGGTCAGTTTAGTAAGTCAGTGAGAATCAAGGCCTTTATGCATAGTAGAATAGTGTTACCGTGTAGCTCTTAGTGTGTACAAGGTGGAAATTAAGCAGGTGATATGACGGTCTGGCAATTATATGGCAGCTACAAGGATAAAAATGAAGGGAAGTGAACATATGGGGGAGGGAACTCCATGCTTCCAGACTCCGTAAGGGATTTGTCAGATTTGGTTTTATAAACCAAGTCCAGGTTCCCACTTTTGGTCTTGTGAGTCTATTGATTTCCCAAGAATTTCCAAAGGCTTAAGAATGACTTTGGTTTTTCCTGAATGTATTGATCTGTGTGTGGGTCTGTCACAAATACACACACCTGAACTCATAAGCAACATTAATTTGTCCGTGAAAGGTTCATTTTTGTTTTGAAAGCACCGCCAGCATCCAGCCCTTGTGCATATTTAGGTCTGTAATGGGGAAACACAGAAGGAGGAAGGACAGATGCCATGCTTTGGGACATTTCATGGTATGAACATACATGCTGATAGTTGTAGGTAATTCATAGCTAGGAGAGCTAAATAATGAGTAAAATACATCCATTGTGGTATCTTTATAATGGGTCACAATTTTGGAACAAAAGGGAAGTTTTCTGATATCTGATTCTCACTCCTAAATAAAAATATATTCAGTGGCTATACTACTGAGGGCCTCTTTTGAAAAGTACATTTTTTGTTGCTAGATTTTTGTCTGTTGATACTTCAGAGATAATTGGTATTCACTGACTCTTTGGAACTGTTTTAGCCATTGATTTTCAGTCTGCCTAATTATTTATTTCATTATGTTTCTCTGGTTAGAATAACCTACTGGTATCTTTTTGGCTCAGAAATATATTGGGAATATATGTTTTTCTCCGTCCTGCAGGAAAACCTTTACAGTGAAAACCCTAGGCTGGGAGTTAAGTGACTGGCATTTAAAAAAATTGTTATTTGTTTTAAAAAAGAGAGAGAGAAAGTTAGCAGAACATTTGTAAGGTTTATACTGAACTCCAGCCAAAAAAGAACAGCTGCCCTGTGCTTAGGATGGTGGTGTCATACTTCCTCGAGGCCAGCAGTGAGTTTGGAAAATAAAATCCTGAATGGTCCCAACCTTTGATGACTCTCTATCAAAGCGGAGAGTTGTAGTTTCTTTGCCTTCTAGGATGGGAGCATTTGGCACCTGCATGTGTTTCGTTGTTGTGCATAGGAAAGGGGAAATTCTGGGAGAACTGGGAGAGTTTCATGCTTTTGAAGGGCTCCAGTTTGGCCAGGAAGAGATTTTCTTTTCTTATCTGTGGGCCAGGAGCCCAGGCCTCCTGCCGCCTCCTAGCGTTCTTCCAGAGGCCTCCAGATTCAGCTGCAGGACTCCTTTCGGGGGAAGGTTTGATCTCCCCATCTGTACCATCTTGGGGTGTCTTGGCTGAAAACAATTCTCCAGGCTTGTGAAGAAATGTATTTGTCTAATCTGTGTTTAAGTGAAATTTGTAGTAGTTGATGGATTAACTCCATTTAACAAGGGTTTGTGTTGCAAAATAGTTGACCTCCTTGAAAAATTAAAAACAGAGTCAGGGTTTTAAATGCTGAGTCACACACTCAGCTGGGGTGGCAGAAGTTGTGTGTCAGCCTTCTGATATTAAAGACAGTTAGGAAGCCTGACCCAGGGAGGGTCAGGGAAGATTCTTGCAAGATGGGCTTTTGCTGTGAACTCTGCACAAACATGTTCCTTTGACTGAAAAGAAATGACGGGACCAGGTAAGTTTAAAAAGAAAAAAGGTGGCTACTTGAATAGACGGTACTTTTAGTAAGAACAAGCAAACACTTGATACTTTACTCAAAAGTTGAGAATAAGCCCTTAGATGGAGTCTAAGTCATGGAAGATTTGATTGAAGCAACTCATAGATTAGAATGGAATCAGCAACCTAATAGGGAAACAGTTTTTGCAAAAATTACATTGGCAAGGGAAATCTGACTTAACTGACTCCATCTTGCTTCTACTTGGCTAAATTGCTCTTGCTCATTCTTGTGCAGAGGCCATAGTGGTCCTTTCCTTGAATGGATCCCCTTCATGTTTAAAAATTGAAACTATATTTGTAAAGAGGTCACAAGGTTAGAATTATGGAAGGGGGTCAAGCTTTGCTAAAGAATAGGCATAAACAGTGACTTGCCATTGATCAGCTTACTTGTCTATAAGTTGCTGACTGCCCCAGAATCATGTAACTGGGGTTCACAAAGTGTATGACTTCCCCAACTACACCTATAGATAACATCACTATTGTGAAAGCTAAAGAACTTGTCTTTGAGATATTTTTCAGAGTTAGCATTTCAGCAGACCACGAGATACCACCTGGTCCTGAGATTCCTTCCTAGGAACTGACTCAGCTATGTGAAGACAGTTTTAGACACCCCTGTGATTTCATCCTCGGTCAGTCAGTGATTTCAGTTCCCCAGCTCCCTGCCTGTCAAAGTACCCTAAAAACTCTAGCCTCCAAATTCTCGGGGAGGCATATTTGAGAAATACCTCCTGTCGTACTAGTTGGCTGGTCCTATGATTATTGACCTCTTTCTTTGCTGTAATACCTGCTGTTTTCAGTGCATTGGCTTTTCTGGGCAGTGGGCAAGAAGAACCCATCAGGCTGCAACAATAGTCTGCATCATTAAGCTTGAGTAACACATGATGCCTTTGCGCTTTATTTATTTTTAGAAGTTTACTTCATGGTATTGCATGGTGTTTAAAAGATGACTTTGGTATTAAAATTTGGTGTTATAAATCATTGTGTCCTTGTGATGATGCAGGTAAAAAAAATTGCATTCATATAGTAGTTACAGTTTGGAAAAGGCCTTCTCTTATATTTTCTCATTAGGGTTTTACCATGACCTTATCAGATAGACAGGGCAGGCATGTTATCCTTGAGAGAACAAAGTATGGCACATACGAATTTTGCCAAGACCAAATAATTCCTAAACTATTGTCTGCTATGCTTCCTAAAAGTCACTTCAATTATGTGGGTACAGTCTCAAGATAAAGACGAAGTACCGGAAAGAGGTAAGCAACCTCCTTATGACACATCCTCACACCTCCATGTCCTTAGGTTTGAAGCAGACACCCCAAGAATGCTTCTGTTTGAATGGCAAATGTTTTCATAGGTAGTGAAGATCTGTGTCTGTTAGAATTCAGACTCTGGTACTTTGATGTCTAAGGCCTTCCTACAGAAAACCTTTGCAAAACTTTGTTGATCTCTTGACCAACCACTGATCTATTAACAGTTTTTCTAGAGGAGGGGAATAGAAGGGAAGAAAGATTGGAATAAATTTACACAAAAGTATTATATATTTGTCAGTTTACTTCTTTACTATTTTTTCTGTATTGCATGCATACTAAGCTGACTTCACACCGGGAGTATAGACTGCTCTGAATGACTTCTGACCTTTCATAGTCACCTATGGTAGCATCATGAGTACATGCTTTTCACAACATGCACTCATGATCTTTGTTCTGTAGCACCTTTATATGAATAGTGACATTTTGAGGTCTTTAGAGAATATCATTTTCTTCTACGTTTTTTACTTGGTTAAAGGCATACTTTTACTGTTGTAATTGAATTTTGTATACCTAGAAGTCAAAGAGCATCTCTTGAAAGCCAACCAGAAATTTTAACAGACACGTTCAATATCTGAACCGTGGTCCTGTTTGGTCCATGAAGATCGGCCACACTTGTCTCTGCTAGTTTTGAAATTCCGTGTTCTGCTCTCTGTGTTTTGGCATTTGCATTGCTCGGCAGTGATGGTCTATATTCTGTGTGTATGATAACTTTTCTTCTCCATGTTCTATCATGGTACAATCTTTTGGGAGACATTTGAAGAATTACCAAATTTAAAATTTATGTTCCATTTAAGCAATATCCCAGGTTACTCCTCTGTTTAGAAATAGGCAAGGATGTTTTTTGTCATTTGATTTTAGAGTTTGGTTTATATATTCATCGTAACTTCAGAATCCTTAGGCTTTGAAGAAATGCATCTTAAAATCAAGGAGGGAAATGCTGCTCTGTAGTTGGTTTCCATGTTTTTGTTTTTTGTTTGTTTGTTCGTTTTTGAGGCAGAGTCTCGCTCTGTTGCCCATGCTGGAGTGCAGTGGTGCGATCTCGGCTCACTGCAAGCTCCACCTCCTGGGTTCAAGCCATTCTCTTGCCTCAGCCTCCCGAGTAGCTGGGACTACAGGCGCCCGCCACCATGCCTGGCTAATTTTGGTTTTCATGTTTTTAATACATTTTTATTGAAGTTAAAGCTACATATAAAATTTACCATCTTTACTATTTTTAAGTGTGTAGTTCAGTGGTAATAAACATATATTCTTTTCTTCCCCCTTCATCCCTCCCTCCTTACTAAAACAGGAAGATTTCCTCAGGCAAGCACAGGAGGCTGCTGTTGGAGTCTCCAGGAACAATCCCAGACTGAACTATTGCTTTAATTTTTGACAGAATTCACAAAATCTTACCTATTTTACAGACAGAATATAATTGTCCCAGGAGAGAAAAGGGTAAAAACACATTTTCCAGAATTTTTAGTTTGATACTGCACTCTGAACCATTCACAGAGATCGGGAACACAGGAATAAGCAGAGTTCAG
The DNA here is from genome assembly GCF_000001405.40 of Homo sapiens. Classification (NCBI taxonomy): domain Eukaryota; kingdom Metazoa; phylum Chordata; class Mammalia; order Primates; family Hominidae; genus Homo; species Homo sapiens. The sequence continues at coordinate 7,850,694 of NC_000006.12, forward strand.
ATTTGCACGTTTGAGTCATGGTATGAGTACCCGAGACGATGTGAGATGTAGAAGTTTTGAGCTCAGCAGAATGAGCTAAACTACAGTAGGAGATTGTTGAGACCACAGGGCGAACCACTGAAGTAGGTCACATAGACCAGATGTGTAAGAATAGAAAACCTAATTGACCCTGTACCATTTATTGAAAATACTATCTTTTTCTCATGTGCTTTAGTGGCAACTTTCTCATAAATTAGGTGACTATATATGTGTGAGTCCATTTTTTGGATCTTCTGTTCCCTGGGTTAATTTTTCTCTTCTTGCACCAATACTCCACTGTCTTAATTCCTTCAGTTTTATAATAAGGCTTGATATCTGATGTGTAACCTCAAAATTGTTCTTGAGACTTTCTTGGCTATTAATGGCCCTTCACATTCCCATGTAAATTTTAAAATCAGTTTGTTTCCACAAAAAATAAAAACAAACTTGCTGGGCTTCTGATTGGAATTGCACTAAATCTAGAGATCAATTTGGGAAGGATTTACATCTCATCGATAATGAGGATTTCAGTTCAAGAAAGTGGTATTTACTTAGGCCTTCTTTAATAACTCTCAGTAATATAGTTTTTTGTATGTCTTGAACATTTTTATTAGATTAATTTTAGGTATTGAAGTTTCTGATGCTGTTGTAAATGGTATTAATAGTTTTTTAAAAATTCAGTGCCAAATTGGTTTTTGCTCACATATAGCATACCATTGATTTTAATTTGTATCCAGCAACCTTGCAAATTTACATGTTAATTCGAATAGTTTTTCTGCATGGCCTTTTGGAATTTCTGTGAATATAATCTATAAATACTAGTTTTATTTTTTCCTTTTCAATTCTATTTTTTATTTCTCTTTTTCTTGCTTTATTGTGCTGGCTGGGACGTCCAGTACAATGTTGAAATTGTTCAGATTTCCATCAGATTTTTAAATCTCAGGTAAAGATTTAATATTTCATCATTAAGAATGATGATTGCTCTAAATATTTTTGTAGATAACTCTTCAGTAGATAAAGGAAATTCTTCTCTATTTCTAGTATTCTAAGAGTTTTTTAACATTAGGAATGGGCATGGATTTATCAAATGTTTTTTTTTAATTTTGGGACAATCATATAATTTTTCTCCTTTATAATGTTATGTGTCTGCCATATTAAATGACTTTTAAATGTTAAACTAACCTCATATCCCTGGAACAAGTTCAACTTGTGCTTTATTATTCTTTTTATATAAGGCTGGATTCAAAGACCATATCTGATAACTTTGCTATCTGGATCACCTATGGGTCTATTTCCACTACCTGTTTGTTCCCTTGATTTTTCCTTGTTTGGTTTTATTTCCTGGCAAGACTGCTAATTTTCTATTTATGAAATTCTGGACATTAAGAAAAAAGTTCTAGATACTGTTATCTCCTTCCAGACTAGATTCAATGTTCTTCTGTAAGGCAGACAAAATATGGCCAAATCACCTTTTTCTTTTTGTTCCAGGTTAGGCAGGGTTTAAGGATGTATTAAGGCTTATCTGTTTATGGTTTTCCCTTTCTCCTAGAGTTTAGCCCTTTCAGCTAAAAGTCTAGGATGCTGGGCACAGCGGCTCACATCTATAAATTCAGCACTTTGAGAGGCCAAGGTGGGAGGATTGCCTGAGCCTAGGAGTTCAGGACTGGCCTGGGAAACATAAAGAGACCCTGTCTCTACAAAAATAAAAATTAAAAAATTAGCCAGGCTGGTGGCTCATGCCTTTAGTCCCAGCTCCTCAGGAGGCTGAGGTAGGAGGATTGCTTGAGCCTGGGAGGTTGAGGCTGCAGTGAGCTATGATTGCACCACTGCGCTCTATGCTGGGCAACAAAGCAAGAACTTGTCTCAAAAAATTTTTTTTAATTTTAAAAATCTTAGAAAAATAAAAAACCATAAAAGTCTGGAATGTTTACAAGAGCCCCTCTTCCTTGGTGGACTCTGTACTCGATTTTTTAGCTCCTCAGCACTGTGAGACTGCCAAACCCTCTGCTTTGCTTTTGAGCCTCTAAACAGTTTCTTTCTACTTGTTTTCTCAACTCCTCGTCCCATATAAACACAGCTTAATATCTGGTAAATACCTCAAGTGGAAATGTTGGAGTTCAAGGAGGCCAGGACTTGAAGAGCCAGAGTCCTAGAGGAAAGGGACTACACAGAAGTGACCCAGGCTTCTATGAGATCACTTTTATGAGCTCATTTCCATGCAGCCCCCTTTTTTTCTGGGACTTTAGCTCTTCTCACGCACTAGCTGCCTTGAATTTTGATTTTCTCCCCAGCTGGTGATACTGCGTAAAGCTCTAGGCCGCTACCAATTGCTGCTTGGTGTCTGTGCCTCGTACTAGAAATTATCAAATGCCCTGAAAGGAAAAGGCAGCAGCAAACACAAGGCTCACCTTAATGCATTTCCTTTCTCCCTGAGGTCTTGACCCATCTAGTGTTGCCTTGCTTGGTTGCTCTAAGAGAACTTCAAACAAGTGTGTTTTTTAGTTAATTCAGTATTTTTTTTAGTGGGAATGTTAGTTTGATACATCATGACCAGAAGCTTAAGTCTTTGAAGTATAGTGTGTTTTATCATTTTCATTTGGAAATCTTTTTAATGAATCCCGACAAATGTTGACATTTGATTCAGTAATGAAATGGCATAGTCCTGGAAACAAGATCGGGACCCAATGTTGATCCATTTCCAGGATGGAGGAGAGTGGTTTCTTTAGAAAAACATTACCTATGGACTGATTGCTCTATAAAATCTGTTGGATTTTCAGTGTTGCCTGCTGAAATGAAGACAAAAGTTCACCCTTTTTAGATACCTGAGACGGGTTTCTTTTTTGAAGAGAAGGGCAAATTTGAGAAAGCCAGGATGGGAGAACACTATATTATAGTTTGGGCAGAAGAAAACCAAAGCCTTTTATCCCTGTGCCCAGCCACACCTTTTTCTCTTTCTGTGTCTGGCTTTCACAGGCATGATCCTTAGGGACTCCTGAAATCTTACTGCTGACTTGATAATCTCTGGCTCCCTCTGTGTGGGCCTCGAGAGGCAAGCAGTGAGCTTTTCAGTATTTGTTCCTTTGCCCCTGAAAAAGGGATAATACAAGTGACCCATGGTTCAGGTTATGTAACTGGTTAGTTTCATCTTCCTAGTCAAGGGCATATGACTTATACCTAGAACGGTCTACTTGGGGAGAAAAAAAAAAAGACTGCTCAAGGAGCCATCAGACCTTCTTGTTCCTCAGCCTATGTTCTGTTCTTGGTAAGGCACAGGGTAGAAGAGAATGTTATGGAGAGGAATTAAAGTTATAAAGAATCATATACACTCAAAAGAATGCTAAAACATTTTATGCTGGCGGGAAGAGCCAGTGGGTGGTGGGCAGGAGACGCTGTTCTTTGGGAACTGCTTATCTACTTGGTAAACATGAAGAGAAAAGAAAATAGGTTTTTATTTCTGGAAACTATGCCTTATATATTTATCATTCATGCCTCGAAACAGATCGCTTTGGTTACGTGTGTCTCCATACTATGTTGTCCAGCTTTGTGGGAGGCAGGCCATGCCGGTGGTTAAGATTACTTTGTAACCCCATAAATAGGTACATCTACTATATATACCCATAAAAACTAAAAATAAAAAACTTTTTTAAAAGATTACTTTGTAAAACATCTTTTTAAAAAAAAAAAATCAATAGCACTTTTACTGTTTCATTTCCCCACCTTGGACGGGAATGTGGAAATGTAGGGTTGGTGATGAGAACTAAAACATGTAATATTTGCATGTCACATGTTTAAAAGGTAGCGGGGGCTGGGTGCAGTGGCTCACGCCTGTGATCCCAGCACTTGGCGAGGCCGGGGCAGGCGGGTCATTTGAGGTCGGAAGCTTAAGACCAGCCTGACCAACAGGGTGAACCCCCGTCTCTACTAAAATACAAAACTTAGTCAGGCGTGGTGGCGTGCACCTGTAATCTCAGCTACTCAGGAGGCTGAGGCAGGAGAATCACTTGAACCCAGGAGGCGGAGGTTGCAGTGAGCCAAGATGACGCACTCCAGCCTGGGTGACAGAGCAAGACTCTCTCTCAAAAATAAATAAACAGACAAACTAACTAAATAAAAATAACAGGTGACAAACTCCGCACTTGATCACTAGTGAAGATTAGAGTATACCCCAGTGTATGGAAGCATTGTTGTGTTTATGTGGCCAAAGAGAGCAGACTGGGTAGCCGTCAGTTTGTATAAAGTTTCCATCCTCTTTCCCCCTCTTACCCTGCCTTGGACATATAGAACCAAGACTTCTAATAACACTGATACTTTGGACTCGATCTCACCTGCAGTTCTGTTTATTAGCCTAATTCGATGACACCCTGAGGGTCATGCCCATCCATAAGACACACTGACTTGTGGAGCAGCCTACATTTGGTTTGCACTGTTTTAGGGAGAGGAGCAAGAAATCTTGAGAGCAGATAGCTTTCAACTCTAAGTTCACAAAACAGGCACAGGTAGTCCTGCTCATATTTCATGGAGAGGTAGTCTGGCTTTAGGTCCTTGGCTCACAAAGTATGGTTCTTAGACCAGCAGCATCAGCATCACGTGGGAACCTGTTAGAAATGCAGATTCTCAGGCCCCTCCCCAAGCTTACTGAGTCAGAAGCCCTAGGGGTGAGGGGCAGCAATCCATGTGTTAAGCCCCCGCAGGGGATTCTGATGCAGGCTACACTTGAGAACCACTGATAAAAGAGCACGTACAACACATGAGCCAAACTGCCTGGGTTCAAATTCCAGCTCTGCCCTTGCTGGCTGTGTGACCATGTGCAAGCCACTTAATCTCAATCTCTCTCTCTCTCTCTTTTTTTTTTTTTTTTTTTTTTTTTTTGAGATGAGTTGTGCTCTGTCGCTCAGGCTGGGGTGCAGTGGCACAATCTCAGCTCACTGCAACCTGCACCTCCCAGGCTCAAGAGATCCTCCCACCTCAGCCCATGCCCAGCTAAATTTTTTATTTTTTGTAGAGGCAGGGTTTTGCCATGTTGCCCAGTCTGGTCTCGAACCCCTGGGCTCAAGTGATCTACCTGCCTCAGCCTCCCACGGTGCTGGGATTACAGGTGTGAGCCACCATGCCCTGCCCACTTAATCTCTTTGTGCCTCAGTTTCTTCATCTATAAACCTGTAACAGCATTAATAGTATTTACCTCTTACGGTTGTTGTGAGGCATTAATATATGTGAGAGTACCTAGAACAGTCGCATAGTAAACACCATGTTAAGGTTTGCTATGTTAATATTCTAACAGCAAAGTGATTTATATTGGTTTTTTAAAGACGAAATAGCCCCTACAGAATCAAGGTGCATTTGATATTTGAAACGTCTCTTCATACCATGCTAGCCATTGGGTGAAAATTGAGTAATATCAAAGACTGTAAAAAAAAAAAAAAAAAAAAAAAATGCAAGTGTAGCCAAATAATGTTCATTCATCTTTGTTACTCAAATTTGTATGTGTACATGTATGCAGCAGTTTACTCTTTTTTGTAGTACTTTATTTTCAAATATATGATGCCTTTTCTATCTTTCTAATGGTAAAAGTTTAAACATAATCTATACTGTACTTTACGTAAGGAAAAAGTAAAAAGCATGAGCTTGACTCCTTAATTTTCTAAAATGAAAATGGATTTTTTTTACTTTCATTCTATTTGAAAAATGAATTTTTCTTATTGCAGAAAGTCAGTTCCTCCATGTATGAATGTTGTTTTGTATTTTAATGTAACATCAAGTCCAGACGTACAAATGCAAAGGAATGTGTTATGGAGAAATAAAGAACAAGACCACAGAATCACCTTACTGAGTATTTCATAAATCTGCTTACTTTGAATATATAAATGCCAGTTTATCAAGAGCATTTTTTTTTTTTTTTTTTTGAGACGGAGTCTCGCTCTGTCGCCCAGGCTGGAGTGCAGTGGCGGGATCTCGGCTCACTGCAAGCTCCGCCTCCCGGGTTCACGCCATTCTCCTGCCTCAGCCTCCCAAGTAGCTGGGACTACAGGCGCCCGCCACTACGCCCGGCTAATTTTTTGTATTTTTAGTAGAGATGGGGTTTCACCGTTTTAGCCGGGATGGTCTCGATCTCCTGACCTCGTGATCCGCCCGCCTCGGCCTCCCAAAGTGCTGGGATTACAGGCGTGAGCCACCGCGCCCGGCCTCAAGAGCATTTTTCTATCAAAATGGTTAGTAGTAAACACTGTTGTACTTTGACCCCGGCATTGTGACCTTGATGGGTGTGTGGTTTGTCAGGAAAGGGTCGAAGCCTGTCCACCAGGAGCTCAGGCACCTCCTGCCCTTGTCCGAGGGCAAAGGAGAGAAAGGCCTGCTGTATTTTGGCAATGGTGCTCTCTGTCAGCCCAGTGGTGTATCACTGATGTGAGCATGTGCCTTGGAGGCTGTGTGATGGGAGGGATATGCAGGGATAAATCTTGCCCACAAACACCAATTCTACTAGTCTTTATGAGTGGCTTTCTGATTCATCAACTCTAAAGCCAGGGTGAATTTTTGAAATTTTCCAGAAATATCTTACTAGCATATTAATTTGTTAAGAACCTCATTTGCCCAGGATGACCACAATGTGAGGAATATCACGCTCTGAGGTTGGAATAACATTGAGAAGAGTAACACTGTTACATCCTTGAAGATTGGAAGCGTATTCATCATGCAAATGTAGGGTCTGAGTTAGTTGAGAACAAAATAGTCAATAACTGCATTAAAAATTATCTTCCCTTGTTTCAAGATTTTCTTTCGTGGTTTGCCACCTTGAGAGTATGTCACCTCAATAGGAAGGTCCAAGTAATCTAGGCATGGTGATGATTTTGGCCAGTCTCTAGGATTCTTTATCAGTGACACACATTTTAGGTGAGAACATCTCTTCTGAACTCTGCCAAAGTGAGATTTAGAAGGGAAAGCTTATTTTTCACGTGGCAAAATCAGATGCATCTTCTTCGAGGCTACACTTTTACAGTCCGCAGACTAGGAAGGCCATGTATCCCTGAGGAAACATTAGTACATGTGGGTCAGACCAGAACCGTTTTAGTGATTTGTCATCAACAGCATCTCTTCAATATCTGAGTTGTTGGAAGCTTTGAGGGTGAGCCCATAAAGTTGTGTCTTAAAGCTTCATTCCTTTTTCAAGTTCCTCTCCCTCGTGGTGTGAACATATTAGTGATGTTCTCATGCTGGGCGCAGCATATTCTGCTTGGAAGGAGCAGAGCAAGATTGGGAGGGTCACTGGGGCTCCACCACTATGCCACCATCTACAGCTGACACCAGCCACCTCGGGCGCCTTCCTGCACGCACTCTCATACCTACCTGACCCTGATGGGGGAGGCCCACTGGTGATCGATTTATTTATTTATTTAGACAGGGTCTCACTCTGTCGTCCAGGCTGGAGTGCAGAGGTGCGATCATGGCTCACTGCAGCCTCCACTTCCCCGGACTCAGGTGATCCTCTCGCCTCAGCTTCCCGAGTAGTTGGGACTACAGGAGTACACTATCATGCCTGGCAAATTTTTGTATTTTTTTGTAGAGGTAGGGTTTCGCCATGTTTCCCAGGCTGGTCTCAAATTTCTGGCCTCCAGCAATCCTCCTGCCTCAGCCTCCCAAAGTTCTAGTATTACAGGCATGAGCCACCACACCCAGCCTTCCCAACCGGTGATTTTTAACCTGTGCCTGTCCTGTGTATCTTATTGTATTTTCTGTATCCAGCTGACTTTAGCATTTGTATGTGGTAGACTTTGGTCCCTTACTTTATTCTGAGCCCTTGGACAGTACTTTCAGCCTCTGCCCTGTCTGCTTCATGACTCTACTTTTTAGATATGTGACGGCTAAGGACCTGGGCCCTGATTAAATTCCATTTGCCCCACTTAACAGCCATGTGACCTTGAGACTCTCTCTGGGGGCTCAGCTGTAGAAGAGATGACATAGGTCCTGCCTTTTCTGGCTGTCCTGAGGAATAAAGGCTGTTGACACAGTCAATATTCGCTGTTCCTCTGTCCCACTTGGCCCAATCATCTTAAGTCCATGCTCTGCCTCACTTCCCTTCCAGAGGCCCCGAGCATCCTAGATCTAAACATTGAAGTCCAAGCCTTCCTCGCTGCCATAGGACCACATAGAGTTTTCATCTTTCAAGGCTCGGCCACTAGACTGCACTTGTTGACCTCACAAGCTTCTTAAGCAGTGAGAACAGTCAGTGTTCTCATTGTACGATTACAAAAGTGTGCCACAGAACAACGCAAATTCATGGGGCCCCAGAGTGACTCGGTAGCAGAGTCGGGATGGAAACTGGGCTCTCCACATCCACGAATCTGCACTGACCCCGTAGGTGCAATTGCTTCATGTCATGATGGGTAATCCTCATCTTCCGCCTTTGCCCCAAGTTTAACTTTTGATTCATGTTCTCCCTCTTTAATTCATTCCTTCTCTTTCTGCTCTTCTCTGTTTTCCTCCTCCTCCTTGGATGATGTGCGTCTGCCTCATTCCCCACATTCTCTTGGACGAGGCTGCCATTTTCTTTATCACAGACCCTGATCTTTAAAAATAAAAGCTCATTCTGCCAGCTGTGCTACCCTCACGCTTTGAACTGTATTTCTCTGTATCCTTATTATAAGTCTTTAAAATGTAGGTGCCTAATCTAGTCATCAGAGGTAACTCGGCATGTGCTCACGGGCCCCGCCTTGAGGGCAGCCTTACCCCCGAGATTCCCACTGGGTCTTGGTGCTAGAGAGTGCCAGCCACATTCTGCCCGTGACACCGATGTGTGCCGTGCTTCCTCTGGGACCGGGGCTACTTTCCCACAGTGCTGTCTGTACTGTCTGTGTTATTGCTGGATAAGGGTCTTCTGTGACCTTCCAGAACAGAATTGATGTCCTCTTACATCTGACTTCAAAGCCTTGGCCTTCCAGTCTCTGCTTGCTGTTTTCCATGGACACCCCCCGCACCCCCCGCAATCTCCCTGCTCACAGTTGTTACCTCAGTGATGGGGGGTAATTTGTCAACAGGGGATGTGACACATCCACATCAGAGAGAGCTTTCAACTGGGCAGGCCAGAATGTGGCCTCCCGCAGACTCTGTTAAGCAGCTGAGTAAATGACTTTTAACTGTGCCTACTGTTTATACTTGGGAAAGACGACAATAGAGTTCCCTTCTCACTTTAAGTGGCCATGGAGGCAGGAGAAACTGTTCGCTCCTCCTCTGAGAAATCTAACCATTTGAACTTGATGTTTCACTGGCCTCGTAAGTATTTGATGGATTAAAGATGAAGTTCATTCATTCATCACAGGTCGTCTTTGGTAATCATCTCAATGAGACAGTATGTTATTATGGAAAGCTCTTTGAATCCAAAACTAGGTCCTGTTTTTTCACTTGCTAGCTTGAGATCTTGACCACATATGACGGTAGCCTTGTGTCTGAGTCTCAGGTTCCCCAGCTGTAAGGTGGAGACCGTGACACTCTGCCTGGCTTTTAGGATTGGTGTAAGGACCAAACAAAGAGAAGTAGATGAAAGCACTTTGTAACTTATGTAAATGTATGCTTATCTTAAACTTAGTATTTAATTTTAGTCGTTTTTCTATCTCTGTAAGATATTGCAGCAAAATATTTCCAATACCAGGAGCTTTGAGTCTTTCCATGGCCAAAATATAGCCCTCCCTGTCATGGGAATCCCAGGCCATCTCATTCTAGTGGCCATGGGATGGATACGCAGATTCAGATTGTCCCTAAAGATGACCATCTCCTGGCACTGACCTATCATAAAATGCAGGTGAGCAGAAGGAGACCCTCACACCGTCATCCCACAGCCCCTTGATTATGTTAGTTCAAAACTGTGAAAAAGTCAGTCTTCCCTGAAGGGCCTAATGGAAGGAATGGATTCTCTGACTTTGCCTCAAAGAACCCCAGCTGTAGCTCACCACTGTGCTGGGATGAACTTTAAAATCACTCAGCATCCACCCTCGGCTACACAGTCCATATGGGGAAGGACTGGGTACTCACTGCAGACCATTCAGAGGCCTTAATTAAAATAGTAGATGATTACTTAGGCATGCGATGTGGCTTCTTGTTTCTCCTTATTTCATAGGAACAAACGAGAAGATTTTCAGTCCCAATTTCAAAACAAGAAAAAATGAGCAAAGCCCAGTTTATAAATGCTCATATGGATCCTGATTTTTATCTTTTCTCAATCCTGTTTCTCGCTGTCTCCTACTTTCCCTGTTTTTAGAGCTTATTAGCCATAAAGTAAGCTAGTCACTAATAGTATCATAAATAAATTTTTAAAACATAATAGAAGTATTAAAATGTAAATGCCACTGCACTACAGCCTAGGTGACAGAGTGAGACCCAGTCTCAAAAAAAAAAAAATAAAAAAGTTTTTTAAAAAATCATTTATTTGTAATTTATCCTAATTCGCAAAAAGATCTGTCATAAGCAGCACTAGCAAGATTTTTGGTAAAGTTGAGAGGGTCTGCCGTGTCGGGGTGAAAGCTGATTTCTATGAAGCGCCTTATCAGATGTGCCTGTCTCTCCTAATTGTGTCATGCCTGTGTCCTGGGTGGTACCACGCCTTTCAGGGCTATGGCAAGTCACTGTGCTTGTGCCTCACAGGTAGATGTGATCTGACTCGGGCATGTTTTATCCTGACGCTGAGACAGGAAAGAGTGGGAAGGAGCTTCAGGCAGTGCGCTATTTACCAGGCCATTTTTTCTTTCTTTCAGAGACTCTGACCTGTTTTTGTTGGACACCCGTGTAGTATGGGCCTCAGAAGAAGGCTGGCTGGAATTTGACATCACGGCCACTAGCAATCTGTGGGTTGTGACTCCACAGCATAACATGGGGCTTCAGCTGAGCGTGGTGACAAGGGATGGTAAGTTATTATCCGCAAGCCTCCAACGTCCAGCAAGTCATCAGTTTCACACATTTCCCTTACAGCAGTTGTGATAGAACCGTGGGCAACAGGCAAGTCCTCAGCTTCAGGATGGCCTCATTTACTGATCCCCCATGACTTGCATTGAGAACCAAAACCTTTCCCGGAGGCCTCCTAGACAGGAATTGAAAACAGGCTTGGGCAACTTGGAGACAGGAGAGTGGTAATGTTTCCAAGAGGATGGCGATGGGAGGACAGCTTTTCTAGGCAGAGGCAGGTTGCGGGGGATGCAGCGAGTAAGAGAGAGGCAGGCGCATCTGTTTAAATCCTGACGGATGAACAGGTTTGCAGTACCCACTCCTCCTGCAGCATCAGAGCCAGCAGCTTGAGGTCCCCACTGCTGATCTGTCCACCAGGGAGGGCAGGGTAACTGCAGATTCATAATCTAGCAGAAACAGGAGAGCCCAGGAGTTCACGCCACTCCTTCATGTGATTCTGAAACTTTGAAAGGAGTGCTTTGATTCTGCCAAAAGATGCCATCCCATGGGTGCCAGGCAAGGTTTGGGGATACATGATCTTCTTCTTCACACTCATTCTTAAGGATTAGCACTTAGGAAACTAGGAAGTATCCCTTAACTGTTGTAGCTACAGGAACAAGTTTCTGTGGAATAAAGAGATGCATGCTTTGATTTGCATTAAAGGAGTCCACGTCCACCCCCGAGCCGCAGGCCTGGTGGGCAGAGACGGCCCTTACGACAAGCAGCCCTTCATGGTGGCTTTCTTCAAAGTGAGTGAGGTGCACGTGCGCACCACCAGGTCAGCCTCCAGCCGGCGCCGACAACAGAGTCGTAATCGCTCTACCCAGTCCCAGGACGTGGCGCGGGTCTCCAGTGCTTCAGGTGGGTTTGTGGGGAGCCTGTGTTTCCAGAAAGCCTTGTTGGCCTCAGTGAGAACAAAAGTTGTGTCCACAGTCTCAGATGTCGGGCAGCTTCTGCACAGCAAATCCAAAGGCAAATAGGTGTCATATGCATGATGGTACCTTGTACAGTCGCAGAACATCTGCGTGGGTTCTGAGGGCCCTCAGCCTGGAACACTTGTTACCTGAAGACTCAGGCTGCCCGCATCATGACTGCCTGTTGATCCAGACAAGCATCTTTCTGTTTGGTTACATTTCTCCAACTCTTTTTTAAATTCCCATCAAAACCCTGGGAGCACCTAGATTCTTTTTTCTAGTTGCGTTATGCTGGGGGGTTATGATGTGCAAGCGAACTTGGTACAGTTGTGTAATATGAACTTGTATTTGTCAGTGCTCTTGGCTGGAAGGGAAGGAAGGTCAACTCAGCCCTCTAGGATGGATTTCTTTGGCTCATTTAATGGAGAGGTTGAGGGTTTTTTTGTTGTTGTTGTTTGTTTTTGGGAGACAGAGTCTCCCTCTGTCGCCCAGGCTGGAGTGCAGTGGCACGGTCTCGGCTCACTGCAAGCTCCGCCTCCTGGGTTCATGCCATTCTTCTGCCTCAGCCTCCCGAGTAGCTGGGACTACAAGTGCCTGCCACCACGCCTGGCTAATTTTTTGTATTTTTAGTAAAGACAGGATTTCACCATGTTGACCAGGATGGTCTCGATCTCCTGACCTCGTGATCCACCCACCTTGGCCTCCCAAAGTGCTGGGATTACAGGCATGAGCCACTGCGCCTGGCCAGGGGTTCTGTCTTTAGGCATGGCTGGATCCATGGGCTCAGATGATAATCAGGAATCTCTCTCTTTTTCTGTTTTTCTATTTTTCTTTGTTGGTGGAATTCTTAGTAAAACTATCTCTATATGGTGGCCAGGAAGGCAACCAGTGGTTCCAGGATTTTTGTTACCCTTGGCAACCTCAACCTCAGACAGAGCCCTTCTTCAGCAGAAATCCAGGGCACGACTCCGGTTGGCTTGGCTGGGGTTGCGTCCTCCAACCTGAAGCACACTGCTGGGTGGGGAGTGCTCTGATTGGCCAGACCTGAACTGTGTGCTCACCCGGGAGCTAAGGAATAAGGTGAGTCCCATTCTGCTCAGAACAGACACATTCAAAGGGCAAGAGAGAGAAACCAGCTCTGCTACCTGAGTGTCAGCTGAGTGGTCCTTCAGAAGTGTTCTCCCTGGCAGGGTGCAGTGGCTCATGCCTATAATCCTCACACTATGGGAGGCTGAGGCGGGCGGATTACTTGAGGTTGGGAGTTCGAGACCAGCCTGGCCAACGTGGTGAAACCCCATCCCTACTAAAAATACAAAAAATTAGCTGGGTGTGGTGGCATGTGCCTGTAATCCCAGCTACTTGGGAGGCTGAAGCAGGAGAATCACTTGAACCCAGGAGGTGGAGGTTGCAGTGAGCCAAGATTAAGATTATGCCTGAGTGACAGAGCGAGACTCCATCGAAAAAAAAAAAAAAAAAGTTCTCCCCAGTGTGTTTTTAGGAAGTGGCATGGAAGTCCACCCATGGAAGCCCAGAGGAAGGGAGAGTGGATGTTCCCTCCCCACAGCCAGTCCCGTAGCTAGTTAGGATTGAATGGAAACCCAGACACTTCTGACTCTAATGCCAGTGCTTGCAAATTCTGGGGTCCTTTGGCTATTTAAATAGCTTGAGAATCAACCATAAAGGTGAAGATTGGCAGTGGGATTTGCAGCCAGAGAACTTGTTTCCCTGGTTGCTACCCTGTGATTTTGGACACATTTAATCTGTTTCAGCTTCCATTTACTCATCTGTAAGATGGGGATGATGAATGCCTTGCAGATTTGCTGGAATTAAATGAAAAGCATCAAAATCTGGCTCATAATAGCACTCAAAGATTATTTATATGCCATTGTAGGAAGTAGGTTCTCAGGGCATATGTTGGGATCCCTGGAAAACAAGTAAAATAATTCTGGAAGATGCATTAATTCTTCCAGGTAATTGTACAGAAATGTCATTTTTGGTGGCCAAACATGTTGGGAAGAGTTAATGCAACTTCCCAAAGTACCTATTTCTTCTTTGGGAAGCAGTGTCTCCATTTTGTGTTCCGACTTAAATCAACCATCTATTTTACCAGTAACTTGGATGTGGAGCTTGAGGATCCACCGCCCAGCGTGATGTGACATTTTGCTTCTTGTCATCCTGGTGTTTCTCGGAAGCATTGCTCACAGCATGGGTGTTCCTGTATTCACCACTAGAAACAGTCAGGGTTGGGGTTTTTGAAAAAGAGAAGAAATGCTTGCTTTCCTTTATTCACTTCAGAGGCAGCCTGCTGAACAGAGTTAATAATCTCAGTGTTTTCCTTCGGGCTATGATGATGAAGTCTGCCAATGGTAGGCTTCAATTTATTAATGGAAGTCTGCCAATGGTAGGCTTCAATTTATTAATGAACTGTGGTCAGTTTGGTGCTGGGACCTCAGACACAGAGGCATCTCTTGAAATGTTGATTGCTTTTTAAAATTAAAACTTCACTTGATTTTATTCAGTACCCCCCACCCAATGCACACACTAATGTTTTTAAATTGAGAAAAGATGTTGTGTCTGATTTTGATTTTAGCAATATCAACCAATTATTATTTTCCAAGTCCCTTTCAACTTTTTTCAATTTGATGAGTTTAAATTAAATATGGATATTCAAGTTGATCTAATTAGTAATAGGTGCAAATATCTCTGTTTTTCAGTGGTCTCCCCCCGCCCACCTCCCAAGCCAGTACTTCCAAATTTGCTTTGTCCCTTTCAGTAGTACAAAGGCAAAAGGGTTCATACGAAATCTCTCCGGTCTCACCTATTTAAAGGCCCCCAAGAAAGAATGACGATGAAGGATGCTCCCTCCTTCTCATTCTCTTCAAAGATCCTCTAAGTGATCTGGGAAATTGCTCATGTCTGGCCCACTGAAGCGCTTCTTTATATTTTTGGCTCTTTCTTCCTTATCTATTCTTCCATTAATGGGAGTGGACATGCTGAGGAAGAGATTCCCAGAAAAGATTTCCAGAGAGATGGCCTGCTACCTGGAGAAATGGCCTGTCTGGTGTTCCTCTCCCTCGGGGTCTCTGTGAGGCCAGATGTTGCTGGGCCTTCATGAACCAGGTAGACATTACAGTAACAGAAAAGTGGTGTACTCTGGCGTGACTGCAGGCAGACTTTCTGCTTGTAAATCTTTTGGAAGTTGGAAGGAAAAGATTGCATTGTCTCTGCTGCCCCCTTCTTCCATGGCGTGCTCCCAGGGAGTTGATAGTTCTCCACCAAAACAACCACCACCAGAAGCAGCCCACCAGGGATCGTCCTACATCTGGGTAAAGAAGTTAGCATTCATTCATCAAATTGCCTGTCATCAGGGTGAAACGTGGCAAGGAAATAAGAGGCTATTTTTGGAATTGTGCTGTCAGTGCCTGAGACGGCAAGACTAGTGCACAGCAGTGGAGAGGCCAGGAGCCCCACCACCCACCAAAATCTACTCAAACATTTGTACTTGGCTTTCAAGCTGGACTTTCCAAACATGTGCACTGGATAGTGGTTTGGATCGACGTCTCCCTGGATGGCTTTCACTTGCCCTTGCTTCTCTGCAGCTGGCTGCTCTAAATGAAGGCTGGATGTTGGTTGGCTCTGTTATACTTCTCCAGGGGCTTGGATAGCCTCTGCATGGTATCATTTATTGTTTTTACACATGTTTGACTAGTCCTGGTCCTAGCCGTCTTTGCCCCATTGGGGATTTTAACCAATCTACCAATTCTTTTTCAGCCTCCATTTCTTACCAGCCTGCTGCTCTTGCAACACCTGTCCTCAGGTTCTATAGCTCCAGTTTGGTGGTCTCCTTCTACTTGTTATCATTCACTCTCTTTTATGGTAGCTCTCACTTGGGGTTCACTATTTTATCTTCTGGGGGACTGTGATACCACTTGGCCAATCCATGACAAGGTCCATGAACAAATGGCCTTGAAGTTCCATTGGGTGATTCTAAATTTTCATTTGGCTAATTTTCCGGATCTTTCCAAGACCTCTTTTGAGAGGGTGTAGCTAAAGCAATTTCAGGTCAGCTGGTAAGTCTGAAGTCTGCTCTGCTGCTGCTGCTGTGAGGCAGAATTGGTCTTTGTTTTGATAGATGAGTTTGGAAACATTATCTGCACTTTAATGATCCATGTGAAATTGGAGTAGTCTCTTTCAGTCTTGATGTTTATGTTGTCACTACCCAGCTCTGCCAACCATCTATGACCCAGCAGCCTCTTGAGACACTGTCTGTCCTTTGGAATGAGTCTGCCATTGTATCAATGCCACCTATTAGCATTTCTTTTTTGTTTGTTTGTTTTTAAGACAGTTTCACTCTTGTTGGCCAGACTGGAGTGCAATGGTGCCATCTCAGCTCACTGCAACCTCCTCCTCCCGGGTTCAAGCGATTCTCCTGCCTCAGCCTCCCAAGTAGCTGGGATCACAGGCATGCACCACTACTCCTGGATAATTTTGTATTTTTTTAGTAGAGACGGAGTTTCACCATGTTGGTCAGGCTGGTCTCAAACTCCTGACCTCAAGTGATCCACTTGCCTCGGCCTCCCAAAGTGTTGGGATTACAGGTATGAGCCACCACATCTGGCCAGCATTTTGTAGAGTAAGTTCTCCTTCCCTCCTTTTCCCACCCCCAAACATGTATCTTTAAGGACCTTGGGGGAAATTGTGGCTCTAGTACATTCAGGGATACTCCTGACCTTCTTCTTGATAGTTTATATTTTCTGTCCTTTAAGCTTCCCGGTTGGGACTATTCAATAGGCTTTCAGCGTAAATTAACCAGGAGTCATCTCTTGCAAAACAGCTGTTTGAGTAGTTTATTATAACTGTGCAATCTTGTGCTATACATTTCAAGGAAATCCAGTCCAGACTGGGGGTCTCATTGTTACAGTGTCCTCACTACTTCACCATTGGCTTCCATGGATTGGGGATAGCCAGAGCTGACTGGGTCGGTCCACCATGGACATTCAAAGCTTGGGAAGAATAGACACAGGTCAAGACTGTGAACTAGCAGTTTCTAGTTCTCCAGGAAAGTTGGGAATTGTGATTTGTCATTGTGATCTTAAACTTTTAGGGCCTGCAGCTTGGCTTGCAGATGTCTTAAGTAGAGTTTGGTTCAGGGCTTCCTATATGAAATCAAACCTTAATTCTCCATAGACATGGAGGACAGTCATGGCAAATAGTGATCTAAAAGTTAGAATCACCAAAAAAAAGTTAGAATCAAAAGCTTCACTTCTATCATGCACAACTCTTGTTCGAGGATAATGGCTATCAAAGAGTGGAACAGACTGGAAAGTTCCCTTCTACCTCCTCCCAAGGTTCACTCCTTGCAAATGTGCAAATGGCAACAATTCTAAAAGGCAATAAGAAGAAGCTTATGCAGGTACCGTGAGATGCCTAAGTCATTCCCAATCATTGCCAACCCTGGGAGGGCACTGGGGCCAGGAGACTCAGTCTAGGAAGTGGCAGAGAGTATAGAAGGTGCTTAGAGCACAGAGGGTCTTAGAGCTAAGTTTTTAAAGGAAATCTTTGTCTATTTGCAGGACAGTTCCATATTCTTTTAGAATCAAGACAAAGGCTGAAAAGAGACCAAAGTCCCACCCAGATTAAATGGGGCCTTATGAGATCCTGAAATCTCCTGGAGCAACCAAAAAATAGGGCCTCACTGTTGCTTCTCAATGTTGACCATCCAAATTATAAACAAAATCTAGACTCTGATCAAACTGTCCACCCCCACCCCAGCCCTATCAACTGTTAGGAGATTATTGACACCAGAAATCAAAACCCCAGTGTGGTCCCTGGCCTCCCGTAGTGTCGGTGACACAAGGAGCTGGCACCTGCTGCGCGTTCTTCAATGGCTGTATTGATTCTGCTGGGCGAGTGGGAGCGAGAGGCTTGTTTTGGATAAGATGGGGCCGATAAGGCCCAGAGATATGGAAAGAGCGGCCAGGCCCATGAAGACAGAGGTGCCACTTTAACGACCTCTATGTGGCCCTCACCCTTGTCATTCTAGGAGAGAAGGGAAATTAAAGTAGTGAATTATTCCCTCTAAAAAACAAGTTTCCTTTGGGAAGAGTCTGTAGCCTGAGCTCAGGAAAGCTGGGAAATACATGTGGAGCATGCCGCTTTGTCCAGTCCCCTGCCATGCTGGTATTTTCTTGGCTCTGTGTGACCTGCTGAGCGGGGACACCCGGCTGAGCTGGCAGGGCCTGCGGGGTCAGCCCAGGGCAGCCGAGTGGCCCCTCTGCAGAAGCCCTGGTGAGGAGACGACTCCCTGCCCACCTCTCTCCCTCTCCCTCCCCACCTCTCTCCCTCTCCCTCCTTCTCACCTGCTTTCTGTGGTGTCCCTGACATTCTCTCTCCCCTGCCTTTGTTTCCCTTCTCCCTGTCTTGCCCTTTGTTTCGCTGTCCTCCTCTACTGAAGTTGCAAAGCACAGCAGGCAGGGTCACTGGGACCCAGGCTGGCTCTGGCTGCCGTGACTCAGGCGCACCCCCCCTGGGAGCCCACAGGCTTGCTGCAGCGCCCTAGCCCCGTCATACTCACAGCAGCAGCTGCGTGGTGGCCCTCCAGCCCCGCGGTGCAGCCTCCCCGCACAATGCCTGCCTGAGAGTCAGGATGGTGGCTGCGCCCTTCCCTTCTCCTCTGGGTCTCATACCTATGGGCCTCTCCTGGCCTCCAGTGCCAGGGAAGCCTGCCTGTCACTGGCCCATCATGGCATATAGGGATTGAGCTTCAGAGCTAACCAACAGTGGGCTCCTTTGCACTTCGCTGTGTGCGTGGCTCTTCAGGAGGGCCAGATAAAAAGGATGCTGGATGGAATTAACCCAGATGTTATGCTTAGTGTGGGGTATGACCCCTGCATTGGGGGTATAGGCAATGTATACAGTGCATGTGCCGCTGCCTGGGGACATGGCTTCTGTGAGGAAGTCCCAGCCCAGCTAGCCGCCTTCTGTTGGGGCCAAGGGTGCCCTGTCCTCACTGCACTGGATGAGAGAGCTATTCTGCAGTTTTCAGTTTGCCTTGGGACGATTAGGATGCCCTGCCCCGTCACTGTCACATGGGCCCCGGCAGCCTTCCCATTTGTTTTCTCCTGTAGATGGAATGTCTCCTCAGTCATCACAGGGGAGACCAGGACTTAAGGTCGGGGAGCAGAGGCTATCAGCAAGGAAGCTGATTGTCAGGTCCAAGGCCTAGCAACTGAGATGAGAACTCCCCACCAGAACTGAGCAGACTGTAGGAGCTCAGCAGAGCCTGTGTGGAACGTGCACCTGCAACAGGAGGAGCAAGGGCAGGAAGATGCTAGAGGACAGAGAAAGGGGATCAGCCAGAGGCGTGTGTGCTGGGAGCTGCAGCATGTACCCCTGATGGCCCCCAGGAAGGGAGCTATGGCCCCTCCACCACCACCCTCAGAACAGGACTCTCAGATGTGAAAGCTCAGTTGTGTCTCAAGGACAAGAAGACTCCATCACTGTGTCCTCCCTCCCATCCGCTGGACTCCAGAAAAATGCACCTCCATATGGCTCCTTTCAAGTTAGCCCCCAACCCCTCCCAGGTGTACTGGCCCCCAGGTAACATGGAGGAATGACAGATAATGAAAGACACACCTGGGGCTTGGGAGAGGGATTTCAGAGCCATGGCTGGACCTGATGCTTTATTCCGAGGTGAATTCTGGATTGGAACACCCCGGTCTCTTATGGTAGAAAATGGCAGGCACTTCCACATGGTCCCGCCATCGGGAATGGATGGGACACTTCTACCTGTTTCTCTACCACTGATTGCATCGTGCAGAAGGCCTAAATGAGATGCAAGCCTCCCTTTGGCAAAGTATTGGAAAAATGAAGGCAACGTATTGGAAACATAAAGGCTTCATAAAGACACGCTTTGGGCACCACAGCTGGGACCTCTCTGCCCAACTCTGTTCTCCTTCTGAGGGGGATGGTGCCTGTCTCTGCCACCTTCTTTTCCACTACAGATCATGGAGAGTCTTGCTGAAGAACCTTCCTTAGGGGAAACAGGCATGTCTGTCTTGGATCTTTTTTTTAAAAAACAACAACAACAACAAAAAAAAACGGGTCTCACTCTGTTGCCAGACTGGAGTGCAGTGGCACAATCTCAGCTCACTGCAACCTCTGCCTCCCGGGTTCAAGCAATTCTCCTGCCTCGGCCTCCCGAGTAGCTGGGACTACAGGCATGTGCCATCATGCCCCTCTAATTTTTTGTATTTTTAGTAGAGACAGGGTTTCACCATGTTGGTCAGGCTGGTCTCAAACTCCTGACCTCAAACAATCCACCTGCCTCAGCCTCCCAAAGTGCTGGGATTACAGGCGTGAGCCACCGCGCCCGGCCTGTCTTGGATCTTTAGAGTTCATCTCCATCCCCGAAGGGAGTTGTAGAAGCTTCCTGTATCATGGGCCCCACTTGCCTGTCCCACACTGTGAGAGGAAACCCATTTACATCTCATGTCCAAAGCCATTTTTTTCCTACAAATAGTTTTGTGTGTGTGTGTGTGTATTGAGGGGTTATAAAGGAAAGCAGAATATTTTATCATGGTTTTTGCTTCAGTGGCTTTAGGACAAATTAGAACTCAACTCTGGTGCTAGAAAAGAAAAATCTCCACTTAAAACCCATGTTCAAATATCTGTAATGTTCATTTGGAGAAGAGAGGAAGGATTTGGGCTTTTTAATACTAATTGTACCTGAAGGTTTCCCTGCGGAAGCAGTTTATTAAATGGGACTGAAAGCCGCGCTGCTAAAGGCAATTAACATCTGATACATTCTCAAAGCTCAGAAATCTTTGGTGAGAGGAATGTTTCTGCCTGTGTAAGAGCAGGCCAGGGAGTTACCTTCTGCTTATGGAAGGAATTCGTCCTGGGGGGGCTTTTATGATTGTTGGATTTTGTCATCTGTGTCACCTGATCACTCAACAGTTTTTTGCCCAAACCCACCTATGGCTGGGCCCTGCTTGTCCAAGTTGCCCTGGATGAGCACCTGGGGCCTTGTCTTGAGGGGGAAAATTGCCTCTGGGCGGCTGGTGCCCCTGCCCTTGAGGGGGACCAGATTTCACTGTGTATTCAACTTTGAAAAAGCCAGAGCCCTTGAAAATGTCTCTCAGGACCAATATTGGGCCTTGACTGCAGCTGTGTCTGGGGATGCTGGGGAGCCTTGGGGTCCCAAGACAGACTTTGTGTCTCAGCAGGGCAGTAGCGCTACCTGTGTGTGAGCCTCTTGTCTAGAGGGCAGCAGTTCCAATTCTGGTGTCACAGGCGCATGTGGACAGCCAGGGGCCTGATCTCAGTGGCTCTGACTCATGGGTCTGGGATTGAGCTGAGAACCCCGCACTTTAGAGAAACTCCCTGATGATCCCCAGTATTCGGCACAGGCCACCTACAAGTCACACACTGAGAGCTTCTGTCCTGGCGGCGGGGGTGGTGGGGGAGGCTCCTCTGTCTTGGGTCAGCTTCTCTGGTTTTTGGTTTGTCGCCTCTCTCTAGCTGTCTCACTTCCTTTCTCTGCCCTGCCCTTGACTGGTGAATCCACTGGGGCAAAGCTGTGTTACCTCTCTTTGTCCCACTGGAGTGACCATGTTCCTGTTGAATTGTCACCACATACATTTCCACTGGCCCTCTTCAGCCCATTCATCAAAACCAATACCAGGGGCAGTGGGAGTGAGGGGAAAGTTTTTTCTGTAATCTGTAATCTGTCAATCTGTTTAAAAAAAAAAAAAAAAGTGTGTCAGTATAATTCCATGCAGAACCCAGGGTACTGACCCTGAGTGGCAGACACAAGTATTCCAAGGAGCATCAACCTTCATAAATATTTATACGTTCTTTGCCAGCACTTAACATGGAATTATAAGGAAATTTAAGCATGGCCTGAGAGTATCTGTAGGAAGAAAAACAGGAGAGTTGAATTCCTCCTTTTCCTCTCTCTGGCCCTGATCCTTACTTAATGACAAAAATGCCAGTGTCTGGCGCTAAAAGAAATAGCTGTTCTTCCAGAGAAGGTTCTCTTTGTTGAGCATTGAGAGAGTCAAATCAACAGCAGGTTCACAGAAACCCAGAACTGCTGGTGAAGTTAGAAGCAAAGCCCTTTGACTATGTCATCTTGGTTCCATCCAGCAGAAAAAGAAACTGGAAATCCAGACATGAAGTGGTGGTCTCTGCCTGTGTTCTGCCAGCAATTCTTCAACACCAATTAAGTGTCTTGCAATTCAATCCAATTCTTTTTTTTTCTTTTTTTTTTTTTTTTGAGACAGGGTCTTGCTTTCTCGCCCAGGCTGGAGTATGGTGGCATAATCAGGGCTCATTGCAGCTTCAATCTCCAGGGATCAAGCAGTCCTCCCACCTTAGCCTCCCAAATAGCCGAGACCACAGGCACACACCACTATGTCCAGCTAATTTTATATCTTGTAGAGACAGGGTCTGTGTTGCCCAGGCTGATCTCAAACTCATGGGTTCAAACAGTCTTCCCACCTTAGCCTCCAATAGTGCTGGGATTACAGGCATGAGGCGCCACATCTGGCCTCAGTTCAATTCTGATGCCACCTGGAGTTAGCACAGGCCCAAGTGAAAGGGCAAGGTCCCCAAGGAGACTGCTGTCATTTCAGACACCAGGCACAAGTGAGGTCCACAGGGCAGCCATGCTTCTGTCTGTCTTGCCTACAAATTTGGGAGTTCACATTACCGCCCTTCATGTTTGATAATTTGCTGGAACAATTCACAGAACTCAAGAAAGTGCTATACTTACAATCATAGGTTTATTATAAGAGGTATGACTCAGGACCAGCCAAATGAAGAGACTCTTAGGCAAGGTCAAGGGGATAGGCATGGGTGGTTGGAGCTTCCACACCCTTTTGGGTGCACCGTCCTCTTGAAACATCAGTATGTTCACCAACCTGGAAGCTCCACTGAGCCTCAGTGTCTGGAGTTTTTATGTGGGGTTTAATTGCTCTGCACAATTGAATCATTGGTCACATGATTGAACTCCATCTCCAGCCCCCCAGAGGCCAGGCTAAGCCAAAGTTCCAACCCCCTAATCCTGTGCTTGGCTTTTTTGGTAACTAGCCCCCATCCTGAAGCTAATGAGGTCCTAGAGAGTGTGTGGGGTTCACCGTGTACAATCTAGGGCCTCAGGAGCATAACAAAGACACTCAGGAAAATCCAAGGGTTGTCAAAGCTTGGTGCCAGGAACTGGGGACAAAGACCAGAGATATATTTATTATTTTCACACTGCCCATGTCTGCTTGACCTGGGAAAGAAAGTTGTTTGTAGAAATCTTTGCTTTTTACATGACCAAATGATGCCAAGATGGTCTTCATGGAGATTTTGGTCCCTAGCACGAGACGGTATTTTGGAGGAAGCTTACTTCACAAGCAGAATGAGGTTGGATGGGGAAAATCCCAGGCTAAGACTGTAAGTTGTGTGATCATGCAGTTTATCATCTAATCTAACCCAGGACACCTTTAGGAGCGCAGGGCGTTAGGACCTTGGGGTCTTCAGGAGACTCCCCTGCTGCACCCAGCTGGCAGGAGAGGAAAGAGTGAGTGGAAGGCTGATGGGGTAGGGGGCAGGTGGTTAGGAGGGCCAGGCCTGGCAGCACCACACATCCCTTCTTCCCCACATTCATGGGCAGAATCCAGGCACATGGCCACAGCTAACTGCAGTGGGAAATGTCATCTGGCTGTGTGCTCAGGAGGTTGATAGAGGATGTGGGTTGCTAATAAACACATCACAGCCGCCACATGGTTGTTCCTGGAATAGGTGAAGCAGGCTGCTTCCTCAGGGCCTTCACATTGTCATTCCCACTCTAGGAAATTCTCTCACCCCAGATGGCCTCATGCCTCACTCCCAAGGCTCCTCTTTTGCTTAGAAGATACCTTAACAGAAAGACAAGGCCAGGCGAGGTGGCTCACGCCTGTAATCCCAGCACCTTGGGAGGCTAAAGCAGGAAGATCACTTGAGCCCAGGAGTTCAGGACCAGCCTAGGCAACACAGAGAAACACCATCTATACAAAGTATTTAAAGAATTGGCCAGGTGTGTGATGTACACCCAGCTACTCGGAAGGCTGAGGTGGGAGCATCACTTGAGCCCAGGAGTTGGAGGCTGCAGTGAGCCATGATCACACCACTGCACTCCAGCCTGGGCAATGGAGTGAGACCCTGTCTCAAAAATTTCTTAAAAACCCACAAAAACAAAAAAATCCAGACAAGCTTGTCAACGCTATGTGAGATAGCACACTTGCCACCCTGTACTCTCTATGCCCTAACTATTGAATAATAATTTAGCTAGTCCGGGTTTTTACTAGTCAGAATTTTCCAGAGAGACAGAATCAATAGGATATATGGAGATATATATATATATAGGAGGAGATTTATTATGGGAATTGACTCAGGCAATTACGGAGGCCAAGAAGTCACATGAGCTGCTGTCTGCAAGCTGGAGAACCAGGAAAGCTGGTGGTGTAATTCAGTCTTGAGTCCAAAGGCTTGAGAACCAGGTGAGCCAGTGGTGTAAGTCCTAGTTGGAAGTCAAAGCCCTGAGTACTGGGGAGGGCTGCTGGTATAAGTCCTGAAGTGCAAAGCCCTGGGAACTGGGAGCTCTGATGTCCCAGGGCAAGAGAAGACAATGACCCAGCTCGATAAAAGAGAATTTGCCCTTCCTCTGTCTTTTTGTTCTCTCTGGGCCCTGAACCGAGGAGATGATACCTATCCGTGTTGGTGAGGGCAGGTCTATTTTACTCAGTCTACTGACTCAAATACTTATTTCTTCCAGAAATACCTTCACAGATACACCCCAAAATAATGTCTTAACAGTTGCCAGACTCAGTAGCTTACACCTATAATCTCAGCACTTTGGGAGGCCAAGGCAGGAGGCTTGCTTGAGGCTAGGAGTTCAAGACCAGCCTCGGCAACATAGCAAGTCCCCATCTCTGCATTAAAAGTTAGCTTGTGGTGGCCCGTTCTTGTAGTCCCAGCTGCTTGGGAGGCTGAGTGGGAGGATTGCTTGAGCCCAGGAGGTCAAGTCTGCAGTGAGCCATGATTGTGCCACTGTGCTCCAGCTTGCGTGACAGAGCAAAACCCCATTGCAGAAAAAAAAGTTTTATCAGCTACTTGGGCATTCCATAGTCCAATCAAGTTGACACAAAATTAACTATCACAGTGCTCTAGATTGCATGCAGTAGAAGCAGACTGTAATGAGAGAGAAAAGCGTACCAGGGAACTTACCCAATCAACAAAAAGGCTGGAGACTTAATTCAGGAAATCAAGGCTCAGATCTAGTCATGGAACAATGTGCTTTGGATCCCTCCAATGTGGTCATCACCCTAGACACTGGCTGCCGTACTACCCATTCTTGATGTCACCTTTGAGTCACTCCCTCAGGTTATACACTGCAGGGTGGAGACATTTGATTGGCTTTGATGAAGTCATGAGTCCGTACTTCAGATGCTAGGGGACAAAGAGGGGAGCTATCTGTCGTGGGAAATGGGGCTCTGAGTCCCACCTATCTAGGCATTCCCCCACATGCGAAGTGTTGCCAAAAGCTGGGTAGCAAAAGCAGTAAATATCCACTACAGCTGGGTATGGCATTCTAGGTTTGATGGCATCATTTTCATATTATTTAATTTTTTAATGTGTATTTTTGTTAAGTTTGCTATCCATTTTGTGTTTCTTAGTAATTTTCTTTTTATCTCTGGATTACTTTTAAGAATTTATGTGTTTGATATAATTTCACTACATGTGGCTAGATAAGAATTTATCTGATCCTCTTGGAACTCTTTGGGCCTTTTCAACTTAAAGATGTTTGCCTTTCTTTAGTTGTAGAAAATTCCCAGTCATTATGTCTTCAAATACTACTACTCCCTATTACTGCCTTCCGAAATTCCTATTAGAAATTTGTTGGACTTTTCATTCTCTCTTCCATGTCTCTTTACAAAGAGACAGTCATGTATTTTGGCCATTTGATTCTGTGCTATATTTGAAGAGATTTCAAATATACTGTTGAATTCTTTAATTCTGTCTTCAGTTATGTGTAATTTGATGATTATCTGTTTAATGTATAACTAATCTGTTAAGTAATCTGTTTAATCTGTTAATTAGACAACTAATGTTTAACCTGTTTAATCTGATCTTTAGTTATATCTAATCTGATTTCATTGTTATTTTCAATGGTTATGGTTTTTATAAAGTTCTATTTGACTCTTTTTACATCTACCTGTTCTTTTTTCATGTTTTTTCCCCATAATTTTGTTTTAAGGTTTCTAGTCCTTCTTTTCTTCCTTCCATTATTTTAGGTATTCTTCCTTTTTTTTCCTCTAGTTTTTGTTTTTAGTTTTGTTATTGTTTTGTTTTGTTTTGGTATTCTTCCTTTAGAGCTTAGTTCAGATGACTCT
The DNA here is from genome assembly GCF_000001405.40 of Homo sapiens. Classification (NCBI taxonomy): domain Eukaryota; kingdom Metazoa; phylum Chordata; class Mammalia; order Primates; family Hominidae; genus Homo; species Homo sapiens. Next base: position 7,876,972 of record NC_000006.12, read on the forward strand.
TATCCACAGTCTCTGGGGTCCTCTGGGTCTTCCCTTGCATTCCAGCCATCCTCTTGAGAGACTTTGTGTGGCTGATTCATTTTTGTTCAGGGGTTCTTTTCAGTAGGAAGTTTCTGTCTTATGGTGATAGTTGGTTGATTGTTTTTACTGAGAGAGTCCTTGTCCTGCATTGTGAAAATTTCCCTCCAGGGCTTCTCTGGGGTCCTTAAAGTTAAAGGCAGGGTGGTTCTGTTGGGTAACATAGGCAGGTGGAGAGGATAAATAAATTTAGAATTATAAACCACCTAAAAAAGTTGCCCCATCTCTTCTCCCAGTATAGGCCACTGGCCTGAGTCACTGTCTCTTTTCCTTAAAAAATCATGAAATCTGGTGGGGCATGGTGGCTCACACCTGTAATCTCAGCACTCTGGGAGGCTGAGATGGGCAGATCACTTAAGGTCAGTAGTTCGAGACCAGCCTGGCCAATGTGTTGAAACCCCATCTCTACTAAAAATACAAAAAATTAGCTGGGCATGGTGGCTCGCGCCTGTAGTCCCAGCTACTCGGGAGACTGAGGCAGGAGAATCGCTTGAACCCAGGAGGCAGAGGTTGCAGTGAGCCGAGCTCGTGCCATTGCACTTCAGTCTGGGTAACAGAGCAAGACTCTGTCTCAAAAGAAAAAAAAAAAAATTAATGAAATCTGCACGCTCTCTCCTGCTTCAGAGCCAGGAAGACTGGGAGTTAGAAGTTAGAAAATCAAGTTCAAACAGGCTTTCAACAATTAGGTGACTTACTGGCTTATGTAGTTGAAAAGGGAAGGGATAGCCTGCAAATGACCTAGGCTCTTACACCCACTGACATCCCACATTAGATGACCTTTCTCTAAAGCCTTCTCCTTGCCTTTTCTCTCTCCGTCGTTTCTCGAACTCTCCAACACAACTCCAGATGGATTAATCCTTTCGAATCACAGCGGGAAATGCTGCTCTGCAGCTCAGAACCCTGCAAAGGCTCACTTTGTGCCTCTGGTGGGAAGTCCGAAGCATTGTGGTTGGCAGCCTAGGCCATTCATTTCTCCAGCTTTATCTCATCCGACCCTGCTTGACACATCCTTAAATCCATTCCAGCAGAACTCCTCTCTCTTCCTCTCACTCCCACTCTGAACTGTCCCTTCTCTGAAGGGACATTTGCCTATGGCCCTTGCCTGTGTGATATTTGCCTATGGCCTTTGCCCGTAGCATCCATGTTCTGGTTTGTATTGGAGTTATTTGTGTGTCTGTTTTACACCACCCCTTCATTCACTGAGTTCTTGGAGGGAGGAAAGCCATGTCTGACTTACCGTCTATTGGCCGTGGTGCCAGGCAGAAGGCATGTCACGTAAGAGTCGCTCCAGTGGGCCTCAGTGAATTGGGGCACCCCCAGTGCTCTTGCTGGTGATTCAGTTAAGCCAGGCTAGTGGCCCCTGTGCTGCACAGGGTGGGTACATGCACTTCAGCAGAGTCTCCTGAGGAACCCCTGGCTTAGTGTTATTGCATCAGCACACAAGAGCTCAACCCTGGCAGTGAGGTGGGAGTACAGCCAGAGAGAGCATTGCCCCTGCGTGGTGTCTCCCTCTCCCCCGTTCCTGGGCCTCCTGGTTTGGCCCCACTCCACCATTACTCTTCCTTCAGGATACTCTTCTGGCCCGGCAGCTGTCTTGAAAGCCCCTGTGCAGTTTCAAAATGCTCCCTGTTTGGACTGCAGCAAATCCTGCCTAGTAGCGTTGTCTGATCATGTGAATGTGATGCCTTCCCGGTCTGGCGCCTCTGGGGTGTACTGGGCAAGTCGGCCCACGCCTCCATAGGCCTTGCATGCAGCAGGGCTCACAACACACCTCTGTTGCTTAAGGGTGTCCATTCAAGTCACCCTGCTCCCAGTACTGACCCCAGGGTAGACAAAACGGATTCCGTAAGACATTCAAGCCAACAGTCAGGAACCTGATGTAGCTGTTGGGTGACCATACTTGTATCTAGGAGGCTATCCTGAGCCTAGCACAGAGCCTGGCATGTGGTAAACTCTCTATGAAGGAATTAATGAGTTGATGGGTGCATCTTTTGATGGGTGCATCTTTTGATCTCCTCCAACAGATTACAACAGCAGTGAATTGAAAACAGCCTGCAGGAAGCATGAGCTGTATGTGAGTTTCCAAGACCTGGGATGGCAGGTGAGTTCTCTGGACACGGGGGATAAAGGTCCTTTCTCAGCAGTTTACTCTCATCTGAATGGTGGCAGCCATTACCAAACACCCAGAGCTTGATTGAAGGCTGAGCTGCTTCCTTCTGTGGAAGTCCTGAGGAGCCCTCCCAAATGCTCAGGCTCCTGGAGTAAGGCAGAGGAAGCTTAGTCTGTGGGGCACCAGGCGCTCCAACACCTTCCTAGGGTGCCTGAGCTCTGTGATCCCTCAAAAATCAATAGCCACATTTCCCAATATTCTCACCTCATCCTTTCAAAGCCCATAGGACATACATTTATTTGGGCATTTAAACAAATTTTAATTGAGACAGGGTTGGAAAAAAATTACCTAATGGTTAACATCTCCAATGGCTGCAAACCAGCTCACCAAACGATGCAGAAGAGCACACGTTTGCCTCGTACCTGAGAACCATCACTAGTTTGTAAGAAAGGCAGCAACTTTAATCACAGGTGGTGAGCGATAAAAGGTAGCTTCCATATGCAGGTGGCACTACTTCCGCAGGAGCACCGTGGGCTCCTGGAGAGGCTTGCTTGGGTCCAAGCACATATTGCTGGCAACCTACGTGCTTCCAGGTAGCAGCTGAGGCCCTGTGGGCCTCTGCAAGGAGCGAGGGTTCTGGGGTCAGATGGACCAGGTTCACTTCCCAGCATTGCCACTTGAATGTGAACTTGGACAAATTCCTAAGCCTTCCTGCGTCTGTATCCTTGCCTGTGCAATGTGAAAAATACCTTTTCACAGCATTCCTGAAAAGCACAAATAGTGTGAGAAGTGCATGCTCATCTTTTGTTGCTTCCTTTGCATGAAATTAAGGACTGGATCATTGCACCCAAGGGCTATGCTGCCAATTACTGTGATGGAGAATGCTCCTTCCCACTCAACGCACACATGAATGCAACCAACCACGCGATTGTGCAGACCTTGGTGAGCTCTCGGAGACTTTGTTTTGTAAGTGGGAGTAAGCCAAGACCAGGTGTCATTTCTAAGGTACCTTCTCCCCTTCTGTTTTGGAACAGGTTCACCTTATGAACCCCGAGTATGTCCCCAAACCGTGCTGTGCGCCAACTAAGCTAAATGCCATCTCGGTTCTTTACTTTGATGACAACTCCAATGTCATTCTGAAAAAATACAGGAATATGGTTGTAAGAGCTTGTGGATGCCACTAACTCGAAACCAGATGCTGGGGACACACATTCTGCCTTGGATTCCTAGATTACATCTGCCTTAAAAAAACACGGAAGCACAGTTGGAGGTGGGACGATGAGACTTTGAAACTATCTCATGCCAGTGCCTTATTACCCAGGAAGATTTTAAAGGACCTCATTAATAATTTGCTCACTTGGTAAATGACGTGAGTAGTTGTTGGTCTGTAGCAAGCTGAGTTTGGATGTCTGTAGCATAAGGTCTGGTAACTGCAGAAACATAACCGTGAAGCTCTTCCTACCCTCCTCCCCCAAAAACCCACCAAAATTAGTTTTAGCTGTAGATCAAGCTATTTGGGGTGTTTGTTAGTAAATAGGGAAAATAATCTCAAAGGAGTTAAATGTATTCTTGGCTAAAGGATCAGCTGGTTCAGTACTGTCTATCAAAGGTAGATTTTACAGAGAACAGAAATCGGGGAAGTGGGGGGAACGCCTCTGTTCAGTTCATTCCCAGAAGTCCACAGGACGCACAGCCCAGGCCACAGCCAGGGCTCCACGGGGCGCCCTTGTCTCAGTCATTGCTGTTGTATGTTCGTGCTGGAGTTTTGTTGGTGTGAAAATACACTTATTTCAGCCAAAACATACCATTTCTACACCTCAATCCTCCATTTGCTGTACTCTTTGCTAGTACCAAAAGTAGACTGATTACACTGAGGTGAGGCTACAAGGGGTGTGTAACCGTGTAACACGTGAAGGCAATGCTCACCTCTTCTTTACCAGAACGGTTCTTTGACCAGCACATTAACTTCTGGACTGCCGGCTCTAGTACCTTTTCAGTAAAGTGGTTCTCTGCCTTTTTACTATACAGCATACCACGCCACAGGGTTAGAACCAACGAAGAAAATAAAATGAGGGTGCCCAGCTTATAAGAATGGTGTTAGGGGGATGAGCATGCTGTTTATGAACGGAAATCATGATTTCCCTTGTAGAAAGTGAGGCTCAGATTAAATTTTAGAATATTTTCTAAATGTCTTTTTCACAATCATGTACTGGGAAGGCAATTTCATACTAAACTGATTAAATAATACATTTATAATCTACAACTGTTTGCACTTACAGCTTTTTTTGTAAATATAAACTATAATTTATTGTCTATTTTATATCTGTTTTGCTGTAACATTGAAGGAAAGACCAGACTTTTAAAAAAAAAGAGTTTATTTAGAAAGTATCATAGTGTAAACAAACAAATTGTACCACTTTGATTTTCTTGGAATACAAGACTCGTGATGCAAAGCTGAAGTTGTGTGTACAAGACTCTTGACAGTTGTGCTTCTCTAGGAGGTTGGGTTTTTTTAAAAAAAGAATTATCTGTGAACCATACGTGATTAATAAAGATTTCCTTTAAGGCAGAGGCTGGTCGAGATGCTGCTGTTATCTTCTGCCTCAGACAGACAGTATAAGTGGTCTTGTTTCTAAGATTCCTACCACCAGTTACTTTGGGCCAAGTATCCACATCCCCTTGCGTATGGGAGGTGGGTGAAGAGTGTTGGATGCAAAGTGGTTATTATGGGAAGTAGCTCGATGGTAAAAGGACAAACACCTATCTATCTTAGAGCTTAAGCCTGTATGTGCTTATTCCCAAGGGAGATAGAGGTGTTTAATCACAAGGACAGCATGAGTTAGAGGACACTGGCATCAACAGCTGCCACAGCCGTGCACACCAGGGCCAGAGCAGCCCACTGACATCTGTCTTTGGTCTTGAGATCAAATGCATCCCATTCTTCATACATTAGAAGGTCGACCTCCTTGAAGCAGACCAAGTATAGCAAGCCTCTAAAAGGACTACTGAGAAACAGAATCAGAAACTCTAGAACTCTAGTTAGGGCCCTTCAGCAGGGCTGCAGAGCCTCCCTGGATACCCAGGCCTGGGAAAGCCTGTCTGGTCTTGTCACCCCAGGTGACAAATACAACTGGAATCTTTCAATGAGTTAATGAGATACTGAGAATGAGCCTCGTGGAATTTTCCATGCCTACCCTTTCTAAGGAAGACATCCAACAGTTCATGTGGGCTCTGGCTTCGTGTTAACATGAGGAACTAAAGACATGTTTCACCCCGTGAGAAACAGAAGGATCCCCTGAACAGTAACTGATTTGACAAGTATCGACACATAAAGTTATGGCATCAGCATTCTCTTACTCAGGCACGGTCAGAAGTAACGCTGCTTTCATCACGGCTAACCTCTCACACTGAGAGAAGTATTCACAGCAACAGAAGCTCCAGCAGCGGCCGTGAAGGTATCTTCCAGAGGTGTGGGTTTTTGCATTTCAATCTGCTCCATGCTACGGACCAACACAGTATTGAGTCAACTGTGACCTTAAGATCAGAGGAACGTCAATACTGCCACAAGGCCACCTTTCCAGAACTCGTGGGCAGGTAAACTATGCTTTGGATGTGCTTTCTTTCACCAAAATCACTCAACTCAGGAGCCACAAATAGTCCAGCAATTTCATTTCCCTCAACGCTATTTTAGTCTCAAAGGAAACCATGTAAATTTCATCAAGAGAAGGTCAAAGGGGATATATCGCCACTGAAAATGTTTACACAGTGACCATGAGTTACACATTTACTTAGAGAAACTTAACTTAATAAAGAATCTGTAGAGTGTGTTGGCTTGGAAAACACACACACAAAGAAGATACCTCACGCTTAGTATGTTCTGCTTTCTGAACAGCCACCACTGGGAACCCAGTGGCCTCTGTGGGACTGAACTCCTAAACGCAGGGTGCGGGAGCTGGGCAGGAGAGGTGACCTCCAACTGTGTTCCTAAAGTTCGTCTTTCGCTTGGCTCAGGACAAAGCGGTGTAACGAGTCAAGGTCTCTGCCTCCACTGTGCTCACTGACTTTCTTCCCTCCTCGGAAAAGCAATAACGTGGGGTAGCCTCGTACCTTAAAACAAAAAAGAAAAAAGTTTGCAAACCAGCGGTCCAGATCACATGCAAATTGCTTCCTAAATAAAACCAGATACACTCCTACCGTTGTGGCTGGAAAAATTCTGTGGCTAATTTTTAAAGGTGTATATTCCATTAAAACAGGAGCAGACTACTGTTTAGAAAGCACAGCCGTGGGGCTGTGTGTTCACTTCTGAATTCAAAATGACATCATTAAAGATCAGCCTCAAAGGAACGACTTTACCCTAAAGCAGACGCTTTCAGTCTTTACTGTGCACACGATCACCTGCGGATCTGCTGAAGGTGCAGATTTGGATTGAGCAGGCCTGGGAGTCTGCATTTCCAATGACCTCCCTGGCGATGCCCTGGTGGTCTGCAGACCAGACCATGAGAGCAAGATCCTCTTGAGGATACATGTTTCAGTGGCAACTCGTTTCTAAGAATTTTAGGGCACAAAAAACAACTGGTATCTTTTAATGATAAGGAAACTATGTCTGGGTTACGTCTATTCTCCATCTAAAGGGCTCCAAAAGTGTCTGAATAACAAAGAAGAAAAAAAATGACAAATCTTCCAGGCCATCAGACTGTGCTAACAGCTTGGAATGAAGGCAGTAGTTAACCCAAGCACAGGACCGACTTGCTGGCATGGCCCTTTCAGAAAGGAGGTTATGTTGAAATGATTCTTAGATTCAGCCACTGCATTTTATAATGCTGGCTTATGTGTGAAAAATGAGCGACTCGGGTATTTATGGCAAAGGCTACAGACCACTGGTCAATCATCAAGAGTCGCGGTGTGGGAAGCCCCACAGTCTATGGCGTGGGGTCTGTTACTTCACGGCCTTGTTACTCAGACAGCAAGGCCTGAAAACCTGCACTGAAACATGGATACTAACTACAAAGCGGGCGAAGAAGAATGCCTTCCCTTTGAGAGAGGATCTCTTTTGCTTCTCCAAACAAACAACTCAAAGGGACATAAAAACCACATTGTTGAGAAGATGAGAGCAGAGTGAGTTATCGTGGTTGAGGCACAGTTCCCTTGGGATCTGCCCCCATACTGAGAGCTCCCATAAGCATCCATCCAAGTACCCACCGAATACTTGCTGCAGATATTCCGTTCAGCAGTGCAGTCTACTTCGGCGATCTTGACCCCCGCCAGACCAGGGAATTCCTTTTTAGAGAGTTCCTCCCAAGTAGGAGCCAGAGTCTTACAATGACCACACCTAAGACGAGAAAAATGGCAGCTTCGTTGAAATCCTGGGTCGAGATCATTCACCTACACTCTGCTGCCAAGACAAGCTCTGTTTCTTCTGTATGGGACAGTCAACAATTGCCTAGAAATTTGTAAAATACCAAATTCTCCCACTGGGTGCACATTAACTCTTCCTCCTCCTATCCCAAATGAAGAACCCAAAAGTTGATCCAAGGTAGACTTTCAGATAATGTGACAGAAGCAAGCCAGTCTCAAAACAAGTTGAGATTCTGAGACCATTTCCATGCCATGGTGAACTGTGCTAACTGGTTTATGAAAGCACAGGAGCAGAGGAACAGGGAACAGGGCAGATGCCACACAATTTCTAAAAGGTCACTTGAATGCCAAAGACATTTTAGATTTGATTGCTTATGGTCTCACAATTTCAAAACCATTTTAAGGCCTCCTTGGTACTTCAGCGATGTGGGGTGAGCATCAAGGCCATGATTAAGTTTGGTTCAAACCCTCCCTTCTACCCGACTCTGTTCCCTTGTCTCTTCTGACCCCCTCCTGCCGTATGGATGGCTCCCCTTCAGCCAAAGGGGATCCTCCTTTTTGATACTTGATCTGTGGAGCTTTAGGTTTTTAAATGTTGCAAATGATTTGAAAGGCATTGCTATGGTTCGTTCAAGTCCTGTGCTTATTAACTTTTTACCCCTATGGTTAGTTTCTCAGGAACATGTGGAGTGTAACAAACAAGAAAAGTGACGCCTTTATCATGTTTAGATAAACAATCTACTGTTGTCCTAACACTCTGCTTTTCCAAATGGATTGTTTTATTTGTGAAGACAAAAAGTTACTCCCATTTTTCAGCTGAGGGAACTGGGGTTCAAAGGAATTAAAGGACATCCAAGTTTACTATACAGTCATTCACGGTAAGTCTTAGAACCAAGGTTGTCTGGATCTCACACTACCTGCAATCCATTTCTGCTCTGGTCTCCAAGACCACGTGGCATGCAGGTTCAGGAAACTGCGTAGCATACTGAATGGCTCTAACAGACTCTACTGGATTTCTCTACAAAAGAAATCCGAGTACTTAAAAGAACCGAGGAGCAAAGCTACATCATGACACTCATTGTTTAGCCAAAAAGAAAAGCCATCTATTTGGAAAAGTGCAGATACCACAAAACTGAATATGGCCATCATAATTTGCCTCCATTTTTATGTTTTCTCCAAAGTTGATATAACTTTAGCCTCATTCTCCATATATAATCAAAGTTGATATAACTGTAGCCTCATTCTCCATATATAATTAAGGCCATTGAAGTTTAAAATATTTGAATATAGGAGCATGATAACGGTTCCTTATTTCCTACAACATGACCTACATATAAATGTAACATGTGCCCAACATTGAGTCTGGAGGGGTGGCAGATGAGCTGAAAAACATGATGTGACTTAGTACACATGGACAAAGTAGTTTCTAATTAAACAGCCACTTACCATGGAGCATAAAACTTGATGAAGGTTATTCCTTCTGCAATGGTGTCATCGAAGTTATTTTCAGTGAGTGCCAACACAGTGCCCTTCAAGGGAGGAAAAAGCCACAGTTCAAGTACATCCCTTAAAGTTGAGCAGGGCCATGCTTTGGGATTGCAGATACACGAATCAGTAATTTTTTAAAAATGCAGTTACGTAGGCTCCAAGGTCACACAGAAATACCTACACAATCTGCATTTCATAGGCTACACACAAAGGGAGGCTGGCAGCCTCTGAAGGGCAGAGAGATCAATGCAAGTCCCTGGGTCCCAAGCCTGGGAGATGTGGTGAGGAGGTGGCTGGACACTGTACAGGGGATGAAGGTGGGGAGGGGGACTGTCTTTTGGGGATGAGGCAGGTTGAAAACTCTCCAGGGCGCTGTGGTGTGGACCAGGCAGCCCTGGGTGTCTGACACTTGAGTCTGCACCTCTAAGCCTGGAGTCTCCAGGATACCCACTGAAGTCTCATCCTCAGCCGCTTTTCTCACTGGCCACCCTATTCTCCTAGCACCCTTTGTGACATCCTCTCTATGCAACAGAAAGAACCTAGTTACAATAGCAAAGGCAATGATACCTGTTTTACATTGAACATAAAAATGGAAAGCAGCCTGTTCTAAGTCAATGTGAAAAACGCTGATGGAAGCTCTGGCTGGAGAATTTAAGGGAAAGGTGCTACATGGTAGTCTGCTTTAAAGCCATTCTCCCTTGACAGTTCTTTACAGAATGACGTCTATGTGTTTCTCCAAAAATGGATCTGCGATTCTCTCCTGAGAGCAGGAATGGGATGATTTATCACGTGGCTAAGTGTACCAGGGCTGCTCCATTTGAGTCTGGCATCGAGTAACATGTCAGTGACGGAGGCCAAGGGGGCCACTGTGGAACACTACCATCTTTATGTCCAGAAACATGACGCCACACGCACTGAAAAGACCCACTTCATGGTGGAAAACTGCATTATAAATAGAAATGGTGCTGCGATGAAAACATCCGTGGTATATAATTATACTCAATTTGGGATGACCTTTGTAACCACCATGACACATACACTCCTCTAACATAAGTGGTCCTGACAACTACAAAATCAGCTGTTTACTTCTTCAACCAAAACGTCAACTTTTAAACAACACTCAGGCCATCCCCGACCTACAAGAGCCCAACTAGGGACAGGGTTGTAGGGGTGAGGAGGCCTGGTGTGGCCCCACCAGGGAGGAGGGGTTGGTGGCCCCACTGGTTTTTCCAAATCCAAACTCCTGGCCTTCAGGCATGACTTCTACCTGAAGAGGATGACACGGGCACTCTCGTCCAGTGCAGACCTCCTGCCGCAGCCCCAGGCTCATGGTTGGAACTGCCACTGGACACTGCCACCTACACAGCCGAAAGCCTTGAAGATCAACACCTTGAAAACCAAGCTCATCCCTTTCCTCGAGCTCTGGCCCCGCCCCTGTGCTGGGTACCATCCTCCACCAGATATGCGGGAATCAGACTCGCCTCGGACCCTCCCTCCCTCTCCGCGCTGCACAGCGGCTGGACTCCTTATGCTGGCTTTCTCCTCCTCGCCATCGCACAGTCACGGCTGCAGCATGAGGGAACGCATCATCTTTAAAGGCCTAATAGAGCAGCTTCCCACCTCCAGCACACGTGCATGCCGGTCATTTTCCTACAACTCCAATCTGCACAGAGCCTCCATGGGCTCCCTGTCAATATGGGATACAGTTCCTAATCCTTGGCCAGCTGCCCACAGACTCTCAACTCCAGCTCCTCTCTCACTCTCAGGGATCCTACACCACACCCTGACCTGTCTCCCACTGTGTTCCCCCAGCCCCAGCTCTGGCCCTGCAGAAATGCCGGCTGATTCTCGGGTTGTGCCTCTCCTGGTGCAGCCCCTCAGTGGCAGCCCTGCCCAGCCTATCTGTCCAGCACAGATCCCGTCAATCAGCTCCTTAGGGACACTTCTTGCCCATTTGCCCCCACTTCTCTCTAGCAGCCAAGCCCTGCACACATTTCTGCCCCAGCCCCCTGCCATTGGCTTGTGTGTCTTCTCACCATTTGCCTCAGAGACCTGTATGCTTCAGAGGCAGGAAACCGGTCTTATTTTTATTCCCTGGTGGCCTAGAACAGTGCCTGTGACATAACAAGGGCTTCATAAAGCAGAACAAATGAATCTGAAACCTCCTGCTACCTGAGTGAAGGAAGGAAGCCCCTCAGTGCATCAGGACTGCCTAGGCAGGTTACAGCTACAGTCACTGGCCTGATCGCTGCGGATGCCCTCTTGGCTACAGGTCTTCTAGGGGCCTTTACAACGGGTAAAGGAAAATGCCCGGAGCAAGGTCAGGAATAGAATCAGGGCCCCGGGGCCAGCAGTCGAGATTTCATAGCAGAAACATGCCCAGCAGAGTCATTCTTTAAAATGAATGAAGCGGAAAGGAAGGATTCTCTAGAGATTTTTGACACCAAATATTGTCTTGGGATTTGTCTCACATCCATTTCATGTTTTCAAAAGGAAAGCTTTTGTTTGCATTCGCCCCTGAAAGCATGTGAAAGTCGATGAAAAATACGTGTTGAAAACGCAACTGGAGCCAACCATCAGATGACTGTGTCCCCAAACTGTCATTTTGTCCAAAGCATTTGAGGAGGCCTCTGAGGGTGGGGAGGTGGGGGGCCGGGGGCCACGGGCCACTTATGGGGATCCCGACTCCAGCAGGCACCCACCTTGTCAGCCTCGGGCTCAGCTGCCAGCACCGGGGCCTCTGAGGGCGTGACGGTCTCCGTCGCTCCAGTCTCTGTGCGCTGCAGCTGCGACTCCACGTACTCCCTCAGTGACTCCAAATCCCGCTTTCCCTTGTACTGATCCACCTGGCCAAGACACGGGCACGCGGCTGAGTGAGTCCACTGAGGTGTTCTGAATCACTTAAGCCTTCCTGCAACCCCTGCTTGCCCGGGTCAGAGCTCCCAGATGTCTTAGCGGTGGTGCAAAGTCTGCATGTTCATATTTAGACGGGAATGTAGAGAGGATAACTGAATGCCTCGGCTTTGGTGAGAGAACTGTACAGGCCCCTCTTCCCTCCACGGGGTTACACATCACAGAAGTCTGGGGCAGAGGCCTGCCAGCAAGCCGTTGTGCTGATGGGGAACTCTGAGCTGCTGACCATCGGCCAGGGAAGGAGGGAGGGAGGCAGGCAGAACCGGACCAAGTGCAAGCCTTAGCTCTGTTCAAAGGCCTGAAGGTTTGTGTTTACAACCAGAGCACAGTTACCCTGTGACTGTAAGATGTGGGTTATTCTAGTGATAACCTGGGCCACTGAAATGTTTCAAGGTTCATCTCCACAACCCAAATCTTATCAATTAAGAGAAAGACGTTTGTTTCATTATACACATTTCTCCAAACCAGTGCCCTAACAATCAAGATTGGCAATTCACTGTGCCCATTAAACCACTCAGTAGCTCAGCCTGATGGGGTTAAGAGATGAAGAATTCTCAGTACTAAGAAGTGCAGACGTACCTTTTTCCCATCTCGGAACCAGAGAAGAGTGGGATAGCCACGAACCTGGTTTCCGGAGCAGAGTTCATAGTGCTGTGTACAATCAACCTGAGAATAAAAGCAGATCAACTTCCCAGTCAGTTTCTTCATGAACCTTCTTGCTAATGGGGCTACTGGACACTTTGTACGTTACAAATATTCTTTTCAAAATCCACATTCTGTAGCAACTCTGCCAGCAAGGTGCAGTTTTTGAAGAGAATGTTCCTGAAAGCTATGCTAAAACATACCTGAGCTAAAAGGAGTAAAGGAAAGACTTTAGAGGCAAGATTTATTGTATTAATAGCTCAGTTAAACATGCCGGTTTTTAGGAAGCAACATTTTAACTCGAGCAAGTAAAGTCAGCACCTGGTAGCTTGAGTCAGGGCCCTGGCTTGACATTTGGTGGTGGTGGGAGGGGGGTTAGCCTGGCTGTCGGTGACTGGGACCCAGACCAGTTCACATGCCAGCTTAGAATTTACTCTCATGCTGAAGCTTAGAGGGTTTTAAAATCAACAGGGAGCAAGAAGTGAATTTTAAACAGGAGTAGTTGGTATATAATAAAGGTAAGACTGCAAAGATGTCAAGATTATAATCCGTCCTTAATTTTATAAACTTAATTTACCAACAAGCACAGCTCTTCAAGCTTTTTCTTTCATTTAAATCTCATAAAGCTGCTGCTTGCCCAACATTTTCATGAAACATCTTGTTCTAAGTCATTGCTTTCTTTTTTATTTTCTACCAGCACTAAAATAGGCAGGACTAAGTTGTTATTCACTATGTCAGCAAACGGGGGTAAAAATACTATTTCAACACCTAAGACCCGTCAGAGAGCAGCTAAGGTGCGGAACTGAAGTACAAGAGGCCTCAGCCCAAGGTCGGGAGAGGACAAGCATTTTTAAGGGTCCAGTGTAACCCAGCCACATGTGCCAGGGATGAAGGGCTTCAGCGTGGTCACCTGGGCTTGTGTCTGCTCACGCCTAGGTCTGCTAGGATCCTCTATGGATATAAACCTAAAAGAATCTCCCATAAAATTTCATACAATAATTAAGTAAGGATACAAGGAATGGGGTAAGACAGTAGACAAGATTATTTTATAATTACTTCCCCGAAATGTTCAATAAATATAAACTGATAATAACATGTATAATTAGTATATATTATCGTAAGCGTTTAAGAGGCAACAGTGAAATATCCATTTAACTGACAACAAAAGTGATTACAATTTACCAAGCATCTGCCCCATGCTAAGCATCACACTAAGCAGTGTACTTTCATCTGCCCAGACACCACACAGTAGATCTTAGCTCAGTTTTGCAAAGGGGGAGACCGAGGCGTGGAGAGGTTTTTCCCAAGGTCAGCCAGCCAGGTCTACCCAACCCCCAAGTTTATGCTTTTGACCATCTCACCATCCCAAGTAGATCATCCTGTTAACCATCATTCAGTCCTAGACACGCAGCATTACTTTTGGATACAAATCAGCCCCATGGCAAGGTAGAAAAATGAGATTTTTAAGAAAGGAAATCTATGCATGGTGTCTGGTGGGTGCTGGAAAGTGTAGAAGAATAAAAGTGATGTCCCTGGAGCTACACTGGATATTTCCAGAAAATCCAGTTACACAGAAGTTGTCAGACACCACTCTTGGCTTCTCTGTATAAAGTAGGAAATGCTGGAAAGAATCCCAGGCACAGTGCAAACTGAGGGAGGGTCTTCTGCGTGCTTGGGGGAGCACAGAGCCAGGGTCCTTTTAGAGAGAGCTCTTGGGTGAGGTCGAACGTGGACGGTCTCCAAGTTCGTCCAGTGAACATTCTACAAGGCTCTACCCCATCTCTTTGCAGAACGGGCTCTGGGGCTGCCAATTCAGATTTGGCCATCTCTTCAAAATAAACAAAGCAGCCGAGGCCATAATTTATCTCTAGGCTGTGGAAAAGCCAGCAAAACTCAAAATCAGACTGCCATCTGTGAAGGTGAAATGAATTATCAAGTGGCACACTAAATGGAATTAATAAATCAAGTTTGCGACTTTGCACACGGAATGAATAATGGGCCACTCTGCTAATTAATCCAGCCCAAAGCAGTCCATTTCCAGTTTAATAAGGGCTTTCACTCACCTTGCCAATCTTGACAGTTTCGGAATGTTCAAGGCCCAGAGCCAGCTGCTCCCAGGTTGGAGCCAGGGCTTTGCAGTGACCACACCACGGAGCGAAGAACTTGATAAAGTGGTCGCCTGGAGTGGAGAGCCAAGGCAGAGACGGGGGAAAGAGGAACTGTAATTTATGTCAGACCTCACTAGAGAGTTAATTGAAGAATCAGATCTTTGTCCTGCTTAGCAAATCTTAGTTCGGCATGAGCACTTTAATTGGTACAAAGGGACTCCATCAAATGTGTTTCTGTTCATGACTTCATAACAATACTCAAAACCAAATTTGTCATCTTTGATGGACAATCAGCAATCAACTCATTATTTGGAAAACTGTAATAAAAGGAAAGAATCAGGCATTTCTCCCACCTCTCCTATATGCACTGTACCGCTGAATAACCAGGTGATAAATGAGGGTGAGTTTCTCTTGGTTAAAAAATGAAGGGACGCTTGAATGAGCCTCGGCACTTGGCAGCCCTAAGGAATGGACGGACCCAGGCTCTGCCTGTCATGGTCGACCACATCCCAAAGAGAGACAACTGGACGTTCTGTGCCCCCACCAGCTATGAGGTCTTCTTGTGCCCCCAAAAAACATCACACTGAAACTGATTTTGTCCCCAGACCCAACTACCAATTTCCAGGAAACAGAGAAATCAGGGAAACATGTAGACCACACTACGGGGACACAATTAGCAAAGTCTGGACCACGGGGAGCTCTACAGGTCAAACCACCTATGTCTTCAGCAAGAAAGATAAAGAGATGTCTGGAGAACATGCAGGTTAAAAGAGCCTTAAAAGATATATAAACACATACACATATAGAACTATAGTGCTCAGGAATGTGCACTTCAGTGCACATAAAGGAGTTGATATGGTTTGGCTGTGTCCCCACCCAAATCTCATCTTGAATTCCCACATGTCGTGGGAGGGACCAGGTAGGAGGTAACTGAGTCACGGGGACAGGTCTTTCCCATGCTGGTCTCGTGATAGTGAATAAGTCTCATGAGATCTGATGGTTTTAAAAACGGGAGTTTCCCTACACAAGCTCTTTTTGCCTGCTGATATCCATATAAGATGTGACTTGCTCCTCCTTGCCTTCCACCATGATTGTGAGGCTTCGCCAGCCACGTGGAACTGTGAGTTCTCCATTAAACCTCTTTCCTTTGTAAATTGCCCAGTCTCGGGTGTGTATTCATCAGCAGTGAAAACGGACTAATACAAGTGGTTTCCACAAATGTCAGGCAAGTGCCTTCTTGGAGAAGGGAGGGCGGGCTGTGCCCTGCATGGGACACGGGAAGCTGGCAGTTTTATTTCTTGAACTGGACAGTAGTTACAGTGTGACCACGCTATAAAAATTCATTAAGCCCTACATTTGTTTTCTCGATCTGTATTATATTTTATCATAAAAAAAAGTTTAAAAAATGAAACATCACCCCCTTGGCTACGGGGAAAAAAACAAACAAACCCTCACAGCATCATTATTTGGACACAGAAGGTGTTTAGCTGTTCTACCCTGACATTGGGCTGATACCAAACTGAAAGCAGGCTGTGGCCGGGGAGAGAACTAACCAGTGGCATGTGGCCTGGCGTCTGAGCAGGACTCTGCCACACTAAGGCTCACAGCTACTGTCTCATCAGCACAGCAACAATGCACTTGAAGAAAATGGTGAAAAACTTCCTTTAAAAGTTAACAACTTCCATTAAAAAATGTGCAAAGCTGAAACCATGTGCAGGTGCACAGTAGATCCTGCACTGTAAGGTGGAGACAGGCTCTCTGGGAACCTAATCAGAGTACTGATGGGAAGCCAGCAAGGGCAGGAAGCCACCATGGTACCTACACGACACAGCTGTGTGGCAGTGACCCACTTAGGGAGGCGCTGGCTAGGCCTGCCGGAGTCGGTCTGTCCTGCCGGAGTCGGTCCGTAACAGGTGATTTGGGAAACACACCCTGCTCAGAGCCCAAGACAATCCCAGCTGAAAATGCATTCCCGTAGCGGAAAGCATGCTAGAGTTCTGCCGTCAGGGCGCTGGTATGGATGAAATAACTTTTAGCAAAAGTGGGAAAAGGCTGAAGGCCTCACGATAAGTTACTGTGGACAGTAAGTGTGGTGGGGGAGGGGCTCTGACTCCCAGCAGGCACAAGTCACAAGGCCAGAGGCAATCCAAGCCATTTCTCACGTTTCCAACCCAGTCTTCTAAGGGGATTTCTCTCCATGGTAGCATTTGGTAATGGGAGCCGGCCAGGAAGCCAAAATTGCTTTCAAGTCATTCGGTGTTGGGCCAAGTTTTCTGAAACACATCTATGTGTGAATAAAGGGAGACTTATGTATTCACACTGGAAATTTTATGGGGATCATTCTGATATTAGGAGACCATTTGCAAAAAATGGGATGTGGTATAGAAAGATCTTTTAAGTGTAAAGAGTAACTAATTTGATTCATGTTATAACGGTGTCATTAAATTCTGGGTTTTGTTTGGTTGTTTTCTGAGACAGGATCTCACTCTGTCACCCAGGCTGGAGTACAGTGGCATGATCACAGCTCACTGCAGCCTTGACCTTCCAGGCTCAAGTGATCTTCCCACCTCAGCTTCAGGAGTGCGCTTACCATACCCAGCCTTTTTTTTTTTTTTAATCTTCTGTAGAGACAAGGTCTTGCTTAGGCTGATCTCGAACTCCTGGGCTCAAGTAGTCATCCCACCTTGTTCTCCCCAAGTGCTGGGATGATAGGCATGAGCCACTGTGCCCAATCTAAATTCTGTTTAGACAGAGAGAAGCTTTTGTTTCTGCCTGAGGTCATTAAGCATATGATTATCATTAATACACAGGCATACTTCCGAGATACTGTGGGTTTGGTTCCAGACCACTGCAATAAAGATAATATCACAATAAAACAAGTCACACAAATTTTTTGGTTCCCTAGTGAATATCAAAGTTATGTTTACACTATAGTCTATGAAATGTGCTACAGCATTACTTCTTTAAAAACAATGTACCTTAATTAAAAAATATTTTATTGCTAAAAAGATGCTGACAGAGGGATACAAAGTAAGCACAAGCTGCTGGAAAAACCGCTAGACCTGCCAGATGCTGGGCTGCCAAAATCCTCAATCCGTAAAAAAATGCAGTATCTCCAAAGTGCAATAAAGTAAAGAGCAATCAAGCGAGGTGAGTCTGTCAATAAACACTCTTAGCCAAGGATGCACTGTCCAGCTAGTGTGCGGGTCACGTGTGCTTAGCATTAGACTCGGCGTTTCTATAAGGGCACAGACAAAAGGAGAACTCATGTTTTAGAGGAGGTGCACTGAACAACGGTCCCAACAGCTCCTCTAGAGTGACCCTTTGTCAGTGCCACTGATGCTGCTATCTAAGAGCCCTTGAGTAGCAGGAAGGAAAAGCCCAGCACGCCAAGGAATAATAGTGATTCTCTGAAGCTGGCATCAGGACGTCCCCCTTACCTTGTGCAACGTGCAGCTCAAAGTTGCTTGCTGAGAGCTCATACAGCCCTTGCTTGAGCTCGGGGGCACTGGGCGGTTCCACTTCCGGCTCTGGTGTCTAACAGGAGGAAATAAAACAGTCATGGGTGTGTCAGTGGAGACACAGGGAAACCATCCAGGAGGTGACTGTGTCTGTGGGGAACCGCCTGCAGATGCCTCCCTCACCCAACAACCTGGAACCCTTGTACGATGCTGCTGTGCTGAGTGAGGCCAGGTCAGGAACTGATCTCGTCAAGCCCTCTGGAAGCTTCAGCAAAAAGCCCCCTCGTCAGCCTCACCCTCAGTGAAAGCTCTAGGTCTGAGTCTCCAGGGCAGCCAAGTGATAGCTGTCCCTACCCCAAAACCCAACCAAACAAAGCAGACAATGCAAAGGACAGTCTTACCCTATACCCTGTCCTCTTCTTTGAAACGTACTTGGATACTTCACAAAGAATACAAAATACAACGCCCAATGGACGTATTCTGAAGGGGTCAGCACTTGCAGACACCAGAGTGCCCAGCGCAGTGGCTCGTGCCTGTAACCCTAGCATTTTGGGAGGCTGAGGCAAGAGGACTGCTTGAGCCCAGCAGTTCAAGACCAGCCTAGGTGACAGCCTAGCATTTTGGGAGGCTGAGGCAAGAGGACTGCTTGAGCCCAGCAGTTCAAGACCAGCCTAGGCAACAGAGTGAGACCCCATCGCTACAAAAAAAAAATTTTATTTACCTGAGCATGGTGACGTGCGCCTGTGGTCCCAGCTACTTGGGAGGCTGAGGTGGGAGGATCACTTGATCCCAGGGGGTGGAGGCTGCAGTGAGCTGAGAACATGCCACTGCACTCCTGCCTGGGCAACAGAGTGAGACTCTTCCTCAAAAAACACACAAACAGACACGAGGGTAGCAAAATGGACAAAGCTGAGAATGAGAAACTCAGGGACCAGGAAGGCCTGGTTATCCTTACTTTACACAAATGACAGGGAAAACTGTGAGGAAGACACAACTGTGGAAGACTGATCAGAGAGAAAAGGAGGTGATGAGAAGGAAAATGCAGGTGAATGAAAGGCAACAGAGAGAAAACCATGGCATGAACATAAGCTGCACCTTCAAGAAAGAATGTAATTCATATGACTAAGTCTCATACAGAAAGAGGGGGAAAGGGGCTTTTCAAAAGATGCTTCTGCCAGGACCCAAGCAGACAGCAATGTGTGCAGCTGTCTAGTCACAATCCTACATTTCTCAACTTTTCAGACCAGGTACAGCTGTGGCTTCCAACCAAAGTAACCAGAAATGAGGGAAAGATAATGGAATCAGTGTTCTGCTGCAGACACATTAAGTGTATATTACTCAGCTTTTATCTGGGGGTTCATATTCCTATTAAAAAGAATATCCAAGCTAAGTTGTTAAAGGCTTTAAAGGTGCTGACAGTTCAAAGCTGTGCAGGGCTGGAATCATAAAGAACCACAAAGTTTCCCTTCTGCTGCCAGCGCGTCAAGACTTTCAAAGTGCTAAATACCCACACAAAACAATGCCCAAGGGAAGAATGGCTAAGTGAACAGTCAATGGGTGCACATAAGGTGAAATAAAATACCGTGTGCCACTCTCCATGAGATGTTCAAGGGCCTTTCAGTATGAAGTGTTCATTTATGGCACATGCGGGGCCTCTAGTTGCTTCCTGGGTTCCTGGCAGACTCCAGAGCAGTCCCCCGGCATGGGAACACCACAGTGCATCCCAGAAACAGGTCACGTCTTGCCCTACAGTGGCAGCATAAGCTGATATGGTGCTTAAGAAACCTGGCTATATTCATCAAGAGCCATAAAAATGATCTTTTTTTTTATTCTTGGCCTTATAATTTTATGTCTGGGAATACTATATTCTAAAAATATCACTCAAAAGAAGGGGGGGTGGAAAGTCCTTTACAAAGATAAACTTGTTCCCTACATCATTACTGATGATGGAAAAGGTATAAATAACCTAAATATCCACTGACAGAATTAGAGTTGAATTATGGCAAATCCACATGATAAAATAATATAAGACATGATCAACATAAAGACCACATAAATATATAAAATCATTAATGAGATGAAACATGTTTGTATAACTGTTCAAGAAAAAATACAGAAGCAAACATGGAAATACAAAAATTGCAGTAGAATGTACAAAGTGACAAATTGTCTTTTGAGTTTCTTGAATATTGCCACAACACTTAAAAAAATCTAAATTTATCCCACGTGAATATTAAAAAATGTATGTACTAAGTTACTTAGGTATACAGATAAAGAACTTTTTTTAAAGTTTTCACTTAAAAAGCTAAGAGAATTCTGGTTTGCAGTATAAAGTGTATATACTTAAACTTTTCCACAATAAGGCGCATTGTCATTGTTTCTGGCAATTATCTGGGGCCTGCTATTGCTGGAGACACTAAAATATGGCAAGTTGGTGACTGTGGTTCTGGGGTGGCATGGGGGGATTACACGCGGCCATCCTGCTCCCACACTGAGGAGACAGAAAGTCCCTTGCAGAGCCTGGACGCAGCCTCTCAGCCCTTTCCAACCTGCAGGTGAGGCCGCCACCTCCACTAAGGGAAATGGGCCATGAGATGAGGTCTTTCTGCCGTCCTGATACTGGCTGCTGGTTTCTTGAATAAAGCCATCATAGAAGACTGGCTTTTTTGGTGAAATTTATTTGAGGCTATTAACTCCTCCTTAAAATTGGTTTGCTACCATCCAATATATGTGTCCCCACAAAGAGAATATTTTCACAAAGGAAACAATGTCCAATTGAAAACTATGAAAGTCACACCTGCTCATTCAGCTTTCTTGCCAGGACAAAGATGCAAATTTCCTGAGAGGTCTGTGGTTCTTTTAGCTAAAGTTAGGTAAGTCTCTGGTTCAACGACATAACATCACACACCAACAGTCTCCACCATACAGTTCAGAGAGTTTTTTTTTTTTTTCCACGATAGTTTTTGCTCTGTTGCATAGGCTGGAGTGCAGTGGCATGATCTCGCCTCACTGCAACCTCTGCCTCCTGGGTTCAAGTGATTCTCCTGCCTCAGCCTCCCAAGTAGCTGGGATTACAGGCACCTACCACCTGGCTAATTTTTGTATTTTTAGCAGAGACGACGTTTCACCATGTTGGCCAGGCTGGTCTTGAACTCTTGACCTTGGGTGATCCACCCGCCTCAGCCTCCCAAAGTGCTAGGATTACAGGCATGAGCCACCACACCCAGCCGAGTTGAGAGAGTCTTTGCAGGTGAGGGATGGAAGCACTGAATCAGCAGCCAAGTTTCTGATTAGGTCATCAGAGAAGATGGGGCAGAGCGGAAGAGCCGCACAGACACACTGGAAACTGGCAACAGTAAGCGGCAAAGCTCCAAAAGGACCACCACAGACCACCTTCAAATCAGTGGGCGCTTAGCTGATACAAGAAGGTAGTCTTAGGTATTTGTTGAAATTGAAATTACAAAGACTTCAGATGCTCTTCCTAGCTCATCAGGATCCTACAGTGTAGGAACACGAGTGTTTTTCCAGTCCCTCTCCAACACAGCAGCATGACCCACCAGGTCTACCCGGCATCCAGGGACCTGAGCACTCGGCATTAATCAGAAGGCACCACCCACAAAGGAACACTTAACCAGTGGTTTATGATCATGATGATTTATAAAAAAGTGAAGACTTCCAACATCAACTGGGGAGGGGGAGGATTATAAATCCTTTTTAGTACATAATATTCTAAGAGTCTACAATCTCCTGATATTAGCCTTAGTAAGGGAAGTGCATTAAGACACAGAGTATTAATGGTACAAAATGATGTTATAAGCAAAGCCCATTAGAGACTCGGGGACTGAGCACCGAGAAGAAAAGGAAGGATCCACCCTACGGGTACAGCTGTCGGGCTAGGCCCGAGCCAGAGGGCTGCAGGTGGTGGAGGGCAAAGGTCGGGGGGATGGGAGGAGGCTCCAGTGCTGGCTTGGATAGGAGATTCTAGGCTGGGCCCAGCCCTGACCCCAGGTGGTCCAGAGTCAGTCTCTGATGCTGGGGTACAGTTGTGAACTGTATTACCTGTGACAGTGGCAGGGTGGCAGTGTTAACAAAGAGTAAGTGCTTATCTGTGAGGCCACACAAGTGACTTCCCTGAAGACTGACTACAGCCAAACAAGGCGCAGGGTGGTGGGGAAGACAAACACCAAAATGGTGGTAACTGCTGAAACTCAGGGTTTAGCCTTCTCTTGACTTTTGTGCACATTTAGGTATTTCCACACCAAAAAGTTTCTGTAAAAGTTCATCTTTACCTGTAATACCAATAAGCTCCAAAAAAAGTAGAGTTGCTTTAAAATGGCAGCCTTAATCATTAACCTCAACTGGCCTCTGCCCCGTTACATATTACCCCAAAGATGTAGGCAGGGAGAGAGGGAGGGAGGGAGGGAGGGAGGGAAGGAGGTAGACACTCACCACTGGCTCCTCGTTCAGTGTCTGCAGCATCCAGTTTTCCAGTGTCTGGAAGTCCCGAGGACCCTGGTACTTCACAGCTTCTTGGCCTGGCTTGAAAAGCTTTAAGCTGAAAGAATAACAAAGGATTAGACAGAGCAAAAAGAAAGTTGTCTTATCAGAGAGCAAACTCATTTAGTGAAACAATCAGAAAATGAGCTGTCAAGGGGCTGCAGCCAGGCATGTATCTGCTCCTCTCTGATAAAAAGGAAACAAACATAACGTTCCAGGAGATAATACATTCAGTTAATCCTAAACTTTCAGAAGTTTCTGGTTTTATTCAAGGAAAACTAAAATGAGGTGAAAACTTCCAGCCCGCTGCTGTGACTGAGGCCTCAAAAGCTACAGTACTCAGTGCTCCTCTGCAGCAGCCTCGGGCCTTCCCTGCAAGCTACTGTTATGCTTTCCCGGCTTCAGCAGTTGTTGTCTGTGTTCAAATTAGGACTGGAGCAGACACGGTGTTGTTTTGCAATTAAGGTATTCTTCCAGGCCACCTGGCAGGTATTCAACTCTTACAAGGCCTGAATATCCAGTTACTGTGAGAATTCAAGTTTCCAGCTATAAGAACATCCTTGACATTGACTGATGCTGTCCATTCACCTTCCCATAGAGAAGGAATCTTTTCTTTTTCCTACAAATGTTGGCCTCTGAAGGAATCTGCAGAGAGGATACGGGAGTAGGTCCTTTAACCATAAGCAAAAGACATCACCAGAGGATGAAATTAACACTCAGTTCCTGTATCCCTCCAGCAGTCACGGGAAAACGTGCTCTAATACTCTAGATAAAAATTCATAGAAGGTGTCAAGGATAGGCAAAAATGTGACTACCAATAGAAGAAAAAAGAAATACAGAGTACCATTTGTTAGCAAGCCTGCTCATCTAAACACCCCTGCCACTTCTACAGCGCGTATGTGGATTTTGTGAGTAAATGCCCAATGTACGGTATCAGAATTGTAAGACGGCAACATATGTAAAATCTGACATGAAGGTTTGAATAGTGTCTTAGTTCAACGGCTGTAACAGAAGACCACAGATTGGGTGTCTTAGAAACAACAGAATCTATTTCGCCTAGCTCTAGAGACTGGGAAGTCTGAGATCAAGGTGCCAGCAGAGTCAGTGTCTGGTGAGGGCTTTCTGGTTCACAGATGGTGTCTTCTTGCTGTGCCCTCACATGGCAAAAGGGGAAACAGAACTCTCTGGGGCCTCTTTCATAAGGTATGCAACCCTATTCATGAGAGCTCCACCCTAATAACCTGCTCCCTCTCAAAGGCCCCACCTCCTATTGCCAGCATTGGGGATTAGGATTTCCCCTATGAATGCTGGGGTACACACACATTCAGTCCAAAAAAAAATGGCTAATTCTCCTTAAAATGAAGTCACATGGCTAGATTAGGCTTTGAAATTAGTATCAGCATACTGGCCTTACCCAGAACCTAAGATGGTATGATGGGGCATAGGTAGGGTCCCTAATGTGTCTCCAGTGCAGAATATACACCCAGCTTCCTCAGCAGCTCAGACTCTCATAACCACAAAAAACAGCCAAAACTTAACTAGATTTGGCCAGTACACCGGCTACGTCACGAAGTTCAACATGATAAGCAACTGCAACATCTGCGGTATCAAAGATGATTGCCCTCACCTAGCCTGGCACCTCCCCAGGCTCCCACAAGGTGTGTTCCGCACCTGGAAACAGAAACTGCTTCCTGCACGGCTCTGCCTCCCGCTAACGCTCTTCAGGAAGGGAAATGGGTGGATCCTCAAGACATCAGAAAGGACCAGGGACGGTCACACTTGTGTCTTTGCTAAAAGTAAAATACAGTAAGACCTAGCCTATGATTTTTTTGTAATTTGCTATTCATTTGCAAAACAAATAATTTAAAAAAAACCATCTTCTTGTTGTTGGACTGATAATCGTTCTAACCTGCCCAGGAAGTCTGAGATTCTTCCTCGGTAAGTTCACAGAGCCCAGGGACAGAGCGGACACTTCTGGTCCAGACCTTGCAGTGAGTTTGGGACATCTGACTTCAATTCTCACTGTCGACAGGGGTGAGGGAGGTGATGGAGACTGGGCCACAGGGTACAAGCCCAAACAAAGTATTGCCCCAGATTTCCGCTATTACCAAGCCTCCACATGGGCATTTGAGTCTCCTTTTTCAAGGAGACTGCAGGGAGAAAATCCCCATGTAGGTACTGCCTTGGCAAACAGCATGATGAAAGTTCTACTACCGTAGACAGTGTTATCAGTTGAACTGTGTCCTGCAAGACAGATCTGTGTAAGTCATAACCATCAATCTCAGAAGGTGACCTTATTTAGAATAAGGTCTTTACAGAGATATTCAAGTTAAAATGAGGTCACTAGGATGGGCCCCAATCTAGCATGACTGGTGTCCTTGTAAGAAGGGTTTGGACACAGAGAGACACACACACACAGAGAGAGAAGGGCATGTGAGGACAGAGGACGGCAGTGATGCATCTACAAGCCAAGGAACGCCAAAGATGACCAGGAAACCAACAGGAGCCAGGACGAGGCAAGGGAGGATTCCCCTACAGGTTTCAGAGGGAGCATGACCCTGCTGGCTCCTTGATTTAGGACCTCTGGCCTCCAGGACTGCAGAGAATACATTTCTATTGTTTCTGGCCACCCGGTTTGTGGAACTTTGTTACAGCAGCCTAGGAAACTAACACAGGTAGTTCCCCCCGTCAGTCCTGCCCTGCTGTAATGATTCATGACTGGCCCAACAGGAAGACCTCAAAACATTTTCCTGAGCACAGCCAGCCATCTCTAGGGAGCGTGGGAGCCCAAACTCCCTGCCCCTCCAATCCTTTACTCCAGTTACACTTGCCAGGAAAGAATAACGTGAAAGCTCATGTCCTGACACATGCCTGGACTCAGGCAGGTACAGTCGTCACCTGCCTCGGGCCTCACAACCACTCTATGGGATGGGCACTTGTCTTAGAGGAGTCAAAGCTCGCTCAAGTCAATCTACAGATGCCCCAGTGCGACCACATTGCACACAGCACATTCCACCTCCTGCATTCTCGGGGGGAAAATAATCTGTTCTTGGAGCTTCTGCAGGGCAGTGATGGTCACAGAGGTTCCTTCCCAAACTGTGTTCAGTGTGGTGTACGTTCATTTTTGTTCTTTTTAATAACACAAAACCAGCCATGGTTTACTTGGGGAGACCAGCTCTTCTCATTAAAAATCTAAACACATGATCCAACATGGGCCTTTTTAAATTTGTGACTTTTTACATTTGTGACTTTTTAAATTTGTGATGGTTTTTGGTGAATACCAACTATGGAGTAGCTGATATTGCAGCTGACAGCTGTTATGGCCAGGCTGAGGTGGAAGCCTTCACTTCCTTCTCTGAAGCCCCATAACACATACCACTCTCAGCTCCATTACAGGTCCTGTGTCACCTTCCCTGTGGCATGGTGTGTGATGCACATAGTCTCAGGCCACAGATGGTCAGCAGGTTAAGAGGAAAGACACCACAGCCAGCTCACCCCTGCTGCCCCTGAACTTTGAAAGCAACAGTTTCTCAACAGGTAAGCATTCACCTCCTCGCCCTCATCTCTGCTCACTACCTGCTTCTTTGGGATGCTCTTGATCCATACTTTCAATGCAATACTATAAAGCATAGAATAGTTAATGCTTTTACGTAGATACAGATAGTAAGCAATTTTATCTCCATTGATCTGATTTAAAGTAAACCCAAATTATGGCACTTACATTAGCAAGCAGTCACCAAAGACCAAGAATTCCAGGGTCCTTTGTGGAAACGCCCACATTTCCAAATGGTAGGGAAAACCCTAACATGTATTGGGTGTGCTCAGATTGGTGTCTGCACACATTCCATGTAAGTCCTGTAACAATGTTTGGGGGATCACCTTACTTACAGGTTAAGTGATGAGGTCAGAGCTGGGTGGTAAGTAAATGGTAGAGCTGGGATTTGACTACGACTTCTAGGTTCAAGCCTGGAGATCCCTCCACTTTTCTGCCTCCCAGGTTTGAATATAAGCTCCAATTTTTTGCTTTATTGATGGACCCCTATATTATTCAATTAAGCAATAAATTGTATAGAATTGACTTCATTCCTCAATTGAAACAAACAGCAAGGAAGTGACCGTGGCAATCCCTCCACCTCCTTCAGAAACAGCTTCTTCTCTTTTTTGAAGAACTGCTTTTCCCTCCAACACTTGGCACATGGTGTGAATGGGCATGTGTCTTGCTATAAGCTCCTGTTTCCCTGGCCACAGTGACTATTCCTGGAACGAACATTCCAGCCAAGCAGGGCCAGTCAGTGGTGGGCCCTTCTGTGCAAACAGAGATACAGGCCTGGAAAGCCGTCATCTCAAGGGAGGTGCAGGAGAAACAGACCCCAGGCCCCTGGAGCTGGCTCTCAGAGGTTCCTCCACAGCCTTTTAAATAGTCCTTTCTTTCTGTTTAATAAGAGAACAATTCTATTTCTAGAATTGAGAACATTTCAATTTCTATTTCTTATAACCAAAAAAATTCTTAACTGTCAAGGAAGTAAGTATCATCGTCTGTCAGACTCTATACTTTCTTTCCAACAGGAACAGCCCTGTGGGAGTCACACGGGAAGGAACTATAGGAAGGGTGTTTGCGAATAAGTCACCAGCAAAAGCAAGCCAAAACTGATGACAGTCCATGCACACTGTGTAAAATGTACCGGTGAACATCTAGCATGGCGGGACCGTCATTTTTCTCTTGCAAACACATTCTCTTATAAACAGGAAAACCCAACACTGATGAATTAAAGGTTATCCAAGTATAAAAGCCATCTAAAACAGACACAGCATTAAATGCAGTTTCTCCCTAATGACAGGGACTGCCTGCTTAAATTTAGTATCTCTTCACACCTTTACCAAAAGTTTAACTAGGACTTTCTTTGTAGCCAGGAGCCACCTAGGAAGTGTGCCCCCTTCCTTCCAACTTACGTGGGGTATCCTCGCACCCCCTGGGCGGAGCACACGTCGGAGTGGGCCGTGCAGTCCACTTTAGCCACATAGACTTTGGCATCTTCCATGCTGTTGTATTTGTCTCCCAGGTCATTCCAAGTCGGCTGCAGCCGCTGGCAGTGTCCACACCTGGAACAAGGCAAGAGTACAAGCACATTGAGTATCAGGTCACAGGGCAGCTGGCCCACAACTTCAGCTCTGTCCAGGGGACAATGGGGCTCTCAGTCCTTTCTTTACACCATTGCAGATGGCAGCTCCTGGACCAGTACTCCAGGACCTCTCTCCCCTGCTCCCATCCCTCCAGAGTCACTGCCCTGTTCTCAGCATGAAATCTTGGCCTTGTTCCAGTATTAAACTTAGCAAAGTGTTGTTCTGGATCCTAGTTGTTCTGGCCCTGCTGACCTCCCGCTTGACTTCTATCCCAGAGTCCACCCTCCTTCCCTTGTGGCCTACTCCTGAGCCCTACTGCAGCATCTGCAGTGTTCCCAAAGGACTATAGCTTGGCTTGGCCCTGGGACACATTCTCTCTGACACTTCGTCCCTAAACTCCACCTAGCTAAATCTATCTGCCCTTCAGGTTTAGTTTGGGTGTCACTTCCTCTAGCAAGTTGGCCCTGACTCCCCGGGCTGTTCAGCACCCATTCTCTTCTCCTGCCCTTCTGGAAAGCCTCTCTACTCCTCCCTTGGACAGTAGCTTAGCACTTCCTGCTGTATCTGCTACTTTTATTCGTCAAGTCTCCTCCACTATATAACCAAATGGCTACAAACATAAGGCAATCTCAAAATTTAATCACCTGCAATTTTCTCCAATGAGAAGGGGAAAAAAAAAGTTTGTGGCCACCTATACTTCTAGGGTTGAAGTAAGCAAATGTCTATTCTTAGTATTCATTGTATGAATTCAGTTATGTATAAATATTTTAAAATCACCCATCATTTAAAATAGTATCTTAACTAGGCTTCTTGCCATGCTTCACATTTCATGAGGATATCAGCATCTTTCCCAACACTAGACCTTAAGTCATACAGCTGACCACAGCTCTTGCTGTGTTCTCTGGACAGTATGTCTACAGTGCCATACTCGAATTTTGAATGAGACAACCCTAGAAACTTTATCCCAGGTTTCAACTACAATCCCATAGCATTATGACACATGGGTTTGTTTGCTATTTAATATGGCAGGAACACACTGATGCCTACAATGTAACCACTTTGCTGTATCGCTTTTTAAAATGCTTTTTTTTTAAACACACTTGCTTATATGAACACTCAACGCTTAGAATTGTGACTTCTTCCTCAAAATAATTTAATAATCTGTTAAATCTCCTTTTATTTTCTGACAGATTACCTCAAAAATAAGCATTTAAGTCGGTAGCAGTGGCTCATGCCTGTAATCCCAGCACTTTGGGAGGCCAAGGCAGGAGAGCTGCTTGAGCCCAGGGGTTCAAGACTGGCCTGGGCAACACAGTGAGACCCCCATCTACAAAAAATTTTAAAAAATTAGCCTGGTGTGGTGGCACACACCTGCAGTCCTAGCTACCTGGGAGGCTGAGGCAGAGGGATCACTTGAGGCCAGAAGTTTGAGGCTGCAGCGAGCTATGATCACACCACTGCACTCCAGCCTGGGTGACAGAGATTTTGTCTCTTAAGAAAAAAAGGATTTAAGCCGGGTGTGGTGGCTCACACCTATAATCCCAGCACTTTGGGAAGCCGAAGCAAGCGGATCACAAGGTCAGGAGTTCGAGACCAGCCTGACCAACAAGGTGAAGCCCCATCTCTACTAAAAATACAAAAATTAGCTGGGCATGGTGGCACACGCCTGTAATCTCAGCTACTCAGGAGGCTGAGGCAGGAGAATCGCTTGAACCCGGGAGGCGGAGGTTGCAGTGAGCCGAGACCATGCTATTGCACTCCAGCCTGGGCGATAGAGCAAGACTCCATCTCAAAAAAAAAAAAAAAAAAAAAAGAAAAACAGACTTAAAGGTAGCACTGAAAAAGTCTGCTTCAAGTTAATGTGTCTTCCCTAAACAGCACTTTCTTGGCCAGCTAAGAGAATCCCTGCTTTATGAGATACTCAGATACAAAAAAAAAAGCACAATGAAACTATACATGCAGATTTAACTTCTGTAGATTCAACAAAGTGAGTTTATGTGGCGGGGGAGAAGGAAACAAGAAAAAAAAAAAGGCAATTCCCACAGAACCCTGAAGTGTGTGCAAGCTGGGAGATGTGAGGTTTTTGTTCCTCAGCAGGCCTTGGTTCCTACATGCTTCTCATGGCATGAGCATCTCTCCGACTACATTAAGTGTGACCCTGCTGTCTAAAGGCACAGGTTTGAGAACTAGTCCATTTGGTGTTTAACCAAAGAAGCCATGATAGTTCTAATGCTGGAGGAAACGCTGGCAGTGGGGACTGACTGACTGACTGGGGCGGTGTCCAACAAGGCACCTTCCTAAGGGACTGTCAAGGGCAGTTCTGACCTTCAGGGGACTTTGATCAGATATGCTCATTCTGGAACTTTAGAACTCCTCTGCAATCTTGACAAGGTTTTGTTTTGCTACTGCTTTTTTTTTCCCTTTTTTTTTTTTGAGAAAACACAAGATTAGATTAAGAATGAGAATAAACAATAAATAAGTTTGTGGTGCGCTAAATCAAAACTGACCATTCTGGGCCATCACCAAGTTGGGCGTGCCCTTGCTCCTGGCTGTGATGGGGCCACAGGTGCTATCTAGTCGGCCCTGCGGCTACAGCACCCAACTCTGAGACAGGCAGCTGCACTCAGAAGGTAGCCTGTGGCCAAGAAGTAGAGCAAAGCTACCTGGTCCAAATCTTGACCTCACTGTCACCAGGTTCAGGGTGACTCACAAACTGGCCATACAGAAGTTGTGACCTGATGTTGGCAAAAAATCTACAGCAGCAGGATAACCCTGCAGAAGCCAAGTGCAGGGCAAAAATACACAGATTGATGTTTTTGTTACAGGGGCCCCAGCCCCTTAATCACACGTGGGCTTTCACCACTCCACGGCAGCTGAAACTGGAAAAAGGTATGTGTGTGTTGAGGGGGAGTCCACTGAGTCTTCTATCTGAGCTCCAAACGCTCAGCTCACCACTCCAGGACCTCCTTCCCTCTCCTGCATAGACCCCTCCAGAGTCACCACCTTGCTCTCAGCCTTACAACTTACCAAAGTGTTGTGCCAGGTATTGTTGGTCCTACTTGATCTTGCCCCTGCTGACCTCCCATTTGACTCGCCGCCCACTCAGCCTCCTTTCCTGGCAGCCTATTCGTGAGCCCTACTGCAGTATCTGCAGTTTTCTGAAAGGGCCCTCTTAAAAGTCCAACTTAAACACCATCATAGAAACCCACATATCTCTGTTTAAGTATTTGTAGTAGACTATCAAGAAGTCAACAAATATGCCAGGTGCGGTGGCTTACGCCTGTAATCCCAGCACTTTGGGAGGAAGAGGCGGGCAGAACACGAGGTCAAGAGATCGAGACAATCCTGGCCAACATGGTGAAACCCCATCTCTACTAAAAATACAAAAATTAGCTGGGCGTGGTGGCACGCACCTGTAGTCCCAGCTTCTCAGGAGGCTGAGGCAGGAGAATCGCTTAAACCCAGGAGGTGGAGGTTGCAGTAAATCAAGATTGCGCTACTGCACTCCAGCCTGGCAACAGAGCAAGACTCCATCTCAAAAAAAAAAAAAAAAAAAAAAAGTAACAACATAAAGCTAATTATTCTGGAAGCATCCAGCTAAATGTCTACAAGCCACATATAATGGAAAAGGAATTTACTTAATACCAAGTGCCCAGATGTGCCAGTTTTCTCTCACTCAGCCCAGGACTAGCTGGTATTTATTGCAAAGATTCTAAACTTAAAATTCCTTTGGCACTGTGGGGACTTATTACATCTGCATGTCAGTTTTTCTTTAAAAAAAAAAAAAAAGTAAAGAATGGGATGCGATGGCTCATGCCTGTAATCTCAGTACTTTGGGAGGCCAGGGCAGAAGTACTGATTGAGGCCAGGAGTTTGAGACCAGCCCCGGCAACATAGCGAGACCCTGTTTCTACCAACTACAACAAAAACAACAACAACAAAATAAGCTGGGTGTGATGACCTGCGCCTGTAGTCACAGCTACTTCAGAGGCTGAGGCAGGAGAATCACTTGAGCCCAGGAGTTAGAGGCTACAGTGAGCTGCGGCTGCGTACCACTGGTTTCAGGCTGGGTAACAGAGCAAGATCCCATCTCTAAAATAAATAAATAATGAAGAAAGAAAAAAGAAAACCCATCGACAGATGTATTCCACTGAAATAGGCTCCAATTAAGTAGTACACTTAATTGAAATAGTTGCTGAGAATACTCCCGAACAAAGAGAAACTGTTAATACTGCCTGATTGTTTTATGTTACAAAGTAATTTCTAAACCATTGGAGTTGTAAAAATTCGAGTCAGTTGGTTCTTAGGAATGTGAAACATAATGTACTTCATATACACATTGTTAATAAACCCACAGTGGCCCTAAAAGTTGATTTAACTCCAAATGAACTGAAACGCAGTAATAGCCTGAATACAAGGTTAAGAGAAAAACGTTTCTCCCAGTTTGAAAGGTACAATTTCTGAACTGGCCATTTTTCTTAGGGTACCTTTTCTCTATGCCTCCCTACATCCCTTTCCCAAGTGAGCCTCTACTGAGCTCTGGGGAAGAATACCAAGTTCTGCAACAAGAACCTGCAGGCTATTCCAACCTCTCAAAGGTCTTGTGTCCTAAAATTATGGCTTTCTGCTCTGGCCTGTGGTCACTTCCCTTCCTCGGGGCATCCCGGCACTGGCAGGAAAGCTGTGCACATGCTTGTGTGAATGACAGGAAGCTCTTCCGTGGGATGAGTGCCAGGGTAGGGTCTCTCAGGTCAGCAGCGAGGCCCACACCAAAGCCTCGCCCAGAGAACCAAAGCAAGAGGGACCATCTGCTCAACGGAGGGGCTTTTCCGATCTCACACATAACAAGTGACCTGGACCCGAGAGAGCAGCAGGGAGGTGACAGGACAGCCTGGAGTTGAGGACCAGTGGGCTCCGTTCAGAGATTACATCCACCCTGAGCTGCAGGGGGGCGGAGGGGTTCCAGAATTCGCACTACCTTGGTCTTCCCGGGGTAGCTCAGCAACCCTCCTCTGCCCGGACCACTCCTTCCTATCCCACAAAAGACGCACAAAGTGGGAAACCACACCTTCCTGGGTTCTATTTTTCAGTTAAAGCCTCTGGAAGGGGACGTGCCCGCAGTCTGTCCCAGCCGACCCCGGTGGCCGCGGCAGCAGCAAGGCCGCTCTGGTGAGTGCACGTGGCCCACGGGCAGGCCGCGCGTCCGGCCGGCACAGGAAGTTTGGGGCGCTGGGCAGGGACCGCGGGGTGACATTTGGACTCCCGGCTGCCCGAAAGGGCGACGACCCCACCTTCCCCTCCCTCGGTGCCGAGGTGCAAGAGGCGGTTGAATTCAGGAGCGCGGCGCAGGGCGGGCTTTTCCCGGCTGTCCCCTAGGGGTCCGCCCCCTCCTCCCGCACCGCCCCGGCCGCCGAGCGCCACGTCAGCCGCCAGTGCCCGGCCCGCTGAGCTCACGCCTCCCGACCCGGAGCCCCAAGCCCTCGGTCCCCTGCAGTCCCCGGCTCCCGGCCCCGAGCCGCGGCGCCCGCGCCCCCCGCTCCCCGCCAGCCGGAGCCCCGAACCCGCAGGGTCCCCGCGCTCCCGGCCCCGCGCCCCCAGTATTACACCCCGCACCCCTGAGCCCCGAGCCCCGCGCCCGTAGCACGCACGCCGCAGACCAGAGCCGTCGGCGTCCACGTGGCCCCGGGACCCCCCGCCCGCGGCGCCCAAGCGCCCCACGCCCCGCGAAGCGCCAAGTGCGGGGCAGGGCGCCGGCCTGCGCGGCGTTACCAGGGCGCGAAGAACATGACGAAGTGCGCGGCGCTCTGGATCCCGTGCGTGAACATGTCGGCCGTGTACAGGTGCTTGCTGTGCGGGTCCTGTCCGTCCTCGCCGTCTGCCGCGGGGGGCCCGTCCGCCGCCGCCGCCGCCGCCTCCTGGGCCCGGGCGCCCCAGCGCCCGCCGCCGCCATGGCCCAGCAGCAGCAGCAGCAGCGCAGTCAGGGCCGCCGGCCGGGCCAGCAGCGGGAGGAGGCGTCCTGGGCGCGCGGGCATCGCGGCGGGGCTGGGCGCGCTCTCGCCGCGGCCTCCGGTCCCCTCGCAGCGCCCGCCCCGCGCCCCGCCCCGGAGAGGCCGCGCCCCTTCCTCTCCCCGCCCGCCCGCGCCGGCGCGCGACCGCTACCCGCCCGAGCCCCGGCTCCGCGCACCGGCAGGGAAGGGCTGGAGCGAGGGACCGAGTCTGGGAGAGCCTTCCGAGTCCGGCCTCCTGCCTTCCCGCCATGGGACGGCTCGCCCCAATCCCGCGAGGCTCCTGCGCCTCCGCAACCCAGGCCCGCACCCCTTTCCCCAGGGGCCCGCTCTGCTCAGAGCGGCGGTGAACACACGAAGTAACGATGAGGCCAGCGGGAAGCCACGGAGGGGCAGGTCAGCCTCGGCTAATCTCAGCTCACACAAGCACCCCGCGATTTCAGGCCAAAGGAAGGAGAGAGCTGCTGTCAGCAGAATATAGGAAATCGGGCAAAAGACGGTGGGGTTTGCACCTGAATTAGTTAGATTCTTGGCCAGAGCTCAACTGTGATTCTCGACCTGGGCTCAGAGGGGTGATGAAACCCGCTTCCCAAGTGAACCCCTTGCTGGTTACCCCTGCCCGGCCTCAACTCAGGGATGAAGAGGAAAGAAAGTCAAAGCGGCCTCTTCTAGACAAGAAGGCACCTAGCAGGACTGACTGGGGTCCTACTGTGCCCTCATTTATGCCGGTTACTAAAATGAATGACAGCACGCCTGCTATGGCTGAACTCAGCCTGTGGAATGGCCCGAAGGCATCCCTGCCCAGCGACTCATAACTCGCACCTGCACACACACCTTACAGCAGATGGTAATCGAAAGCTCCAGCCCTACCCCGGGGATCTGAAGCTAAATTAGAATCACCGGGTTGCTCTCCGGGATCCTGCCTGCTCTTTGATTATCCTCAATCCAGGAAGCCCCAGGTAGTTAACTCCTGGCTTGGCAACAGGGGACGCGCCCACTGTCTCACCTGTCATTATTCTGCTCCCGCCTTAGGCCCAGCCACTTATGAACCTTTAACCATGGGTTGCCAAACACCAAAACCATCAATCTCCCTCCAAAGTCTGTTCTTCCAGCCACTTAAGCTTGAAACATGGGAGGCATCTTGTATTGCTCGCTCTTTTCCCGTGTGTCTCAAAATTCAACCGCATTTCCTGTAACCATGATTTCCTTCCAGCATTCTCAGTGTTCATACCCTGAACGGAGACTAAGCCTGGCCTATTGCAGTAGCTTTCTAAGAGTCTCTTTCATTCACATGGCTGGAAAATTAATTTTCCTAAAGCCTGCCTTTGACCAAGACAGTTTGCTGCTTAAACTTGGACCAAAACGCCACCACTGTCCCCATGGCCTTGGCCGATGGGGTGAAATAGTCATGCCTGGGGCAGCCATTCAAGGCCTTCCGTGATGTGGTTGCATCATGCTTTGTGTCCCTGTGAAACTCACTCAACACTAGAAATCCAGGGATTCTCTCCAATAACTGTTATTGCCAAACTCTAATCCCTGTGTTCTCCAACACCTCAAACCTCCCAAACCCTTCCACGGTGCTGTTGGGAAATTCCCACAAGCATCGCCATACACTCTTACAGCATCAGTGTCTTTCGTTTTTAACTGAAACACAGTTCTAGGAGCTCTCTCAAGTGTTGGCTGCTCATTCTTTCACACCTGGAGTCCCTCAGAGCCAGGAAGTAAAGCTGATGCCTTCCTGGTTCCCCATTGCTCCTTCCAAATCCTACAAAACCTTCAGTACTCCTTAAATTGATGCCACTGGGCATGGCACCCTCTTCCCTGCCAGTTCCTGTCATTCTTCCACATCACTCTTCCTGGTTCAGTGAAGACTTTGGTTCCTGGCTCACAGTGTTCCTGGCCACCCCTTTCCTGTCTTTCATTCCTGGCATCTTCAGCATCCAGGTGGATGCTCCATCTACCTTTCCCTCAGTAACTCACACCCAAAAGGGAGACCCTAGCACTTGTCATCACCAGCATCTGCACCATCTCCAAAATCTGAAGGCATCCACTCTGCCCAGCACCTCCTCGACTGTTTGCTCAAGAAACCCATTTCTGCAATGCTTCTTTCTCATCATGACCTCTGAGCTACCCACCCCACCATCTTCTACAATCCCCTCGCAGCCCAACAGACTGCTATGTCTTCTCTTGCCTCTTGGCCAAGTTACAGCCCATGGAGTCTCACCCTTCACTTCCTGCCCTGCCACATTCTCCCCACAGATGCTGGTGAGCTTTGTCTCTCTGGGTTCCCTGTGCCTTCAACCAGGTAGCCAGACTCTGCTGGAGAAAAATCGCACAGTCAAGCCGCATGTCTCCTTCACACTGGTAAAAATAAGCCTTAAATTCCTCCTCACCCCTGCCCTAAAACTGACTACCTCTGCCTAGGCAGTGTGCTGCCCCACTCTCTGAGATGCTTCCATACTTCCACTGACACTGCTCCTCCTCTCCTCTCCCCACCCCACCCTGTCAGTCGCCATCCTCTCAGCTGCCAGCTTTATCTCATGTTTCTGAGAAAAATGAAGCCAAAAGCATGAGCTCCCTTATCCCTCCCCCGCCAAATCTACACACCCCTGCACAGGCGCCTTTCCCTCTGCCCACAAAGGAGCAAGTCAGTATATCCCTGCCTAGCAAAGCCCAGTCCTCCAGAATAATGCCCCTCACGGATAACCAGGTCCTAATTCCTGAAACATCTGATTGTTTCTTTATATGGCAGAAGGCTTTGCAGGTGTGATTAAATTAAGGGTCGTGAGCTGGAGAGATTACCCTGGATTATCTCGGTGGGTCCTAAATGTGATCACAAGTGTCCTCATAACAGAGGGGCAGTAGGAAATTTGACTACACAGCCGGAGGCGACGTAACAAAAGCAGAAAGAGATTTGAAGATGTTAAACTGCTGGTTTGGAAGATGAAGGGGCCAAGAGCCAGGAAAAGCAGCTCTAGATGCTGGAAAAAGCAAGGAAATAGACTCCCCCTCAGAGCCTCTGGAGGGACCTGCAGTCCTGTGGACAATTTATAGTCCAGTGCAACTGGTTTTGGACTTCTGACCTCCAAAACTGTAAGAGAATAAACGTACGTGGTTTTATGCCACCAAGAGTGTGGTGTTACAGCAGCCCTAGGAATCTCATATGCCCTCCCTGCTCCCTGCTCAAAGGCTTTGTTCTTCAGCTCCTCTCTTTCTCTCCTGCACAAGTTACTCATCACTCCTTCCTACTGGACCATTTTCATCAGTGTATAAGCAAAAAAAAAAAAAAAATTATCTGTATTTCACTTTCCATTCATCCTTCAGCTCATGCCACTCTGACTCTCAAACCTGCCACACACCAAGTCTTCTCAAAGTCACTGAAGATGTCCACATTGACAAGTCAAATGAACACTTTATGTTCCTCATCTTCCTGGGCTTCTCAGCAGCGTTGGTACAACTGCCATTGGCCCCATCTGCATCCACCGTCCTTTCTGCTTCTCTGATCTACCTCCTACCATCCCCACGTCACTCCTCAGTCTCTTCAACCCAACCTTTGATGTCAGTTTTCAGCGCTCAGCCTCCAACCCACTTTTGTTTCTCTGCATCACTCCCTAGGTGATCTCATCCATAGCCATGGCTTTAACACCATCTATATGCTGCTGCCAAAGTGTACATTTGCAGCCGAGGCCTCTCTCTGAGCTCTCACTATCTACAGGATGCCTCCTCTTGTTTGTCCTGCAGGTGTGCTGAAGCTGACCTTGTGCTTCCCTGCAGCAATCTGCTTGTCCTCCGATTTCCCCTCCTCAGTAAATAGTTCTTCCTCGCTGTTGCACAAACCAGAAACCTGAGTTGCAAACTTTGTCTCAGACTCCTGGCCTCAAGTGATCTGCCTGCCTCAGGCTCCCAGAGTGCTGGGATTACAGGTGTGAGCCACCACCCCCGACCTCTGAGTTGTAAACTTTGTTACCCTTTTTCTTTATTGCAGTGCCTTGATCCCCGCCTCCTACTCGATCTCCCCATCAGCAAGTCCAATCATTGCCATCTCTGAGCCACAGCTCCCACTGACTGATATCTCTCCACTGCTGCCATATCCTTCTCTTCCTGTCTGCTACAGTAGCCTCCTGAATGTTGTTTCCACTCTTAAGTCCTTCCCATCCATCCTTCATCCAGCAGCTAGAATTGAATCGTGTCACTCCTTTGCTTAACTTCCTTCAGGGGCTTCCCTTCACATACAGTCAAATTCCAGCTCTTTGCCTTGGCTTGCAAGGGCCTTCAGGAAAGATGCAATCTCAACCCATACCACTCTGCCCTCTGCTCGCCTAGATTCTAGCCATTAGGGATGATTCTAGATACCCTCCCAGCATTCCCCTTCTCAGGCCCTTGTGTGTGGTGCCCTGTGCTTGTTCCCTTCCTGTCTTCTGTGACTGGACTCCCTGCACCCTCAGGTCTCTTGCCCCCACGCCACCTCCTCAGTGCCTGGCGATTGCCTTTCCACATTGACAAGTCAAAGCCCCTCTCTGCAGCAGCCTCCCTCTGCCCACTGAGCTCTCACCAGTGCCATGCTGTTTAATTTCTGCATAACACTTTTTGTCATTTGATGCCATTTTGTTGCAGACTTAGCTGGTTAAGGTGGCCGTCTTCTCCATCAATAAGCTCCCCGAAGGCCAGGGGCTATTTGCCACATTCACTTCTCTCTCCCTAGCACCCAAATGCCTGGATACAGTTGAGGCTCAACAAGTGTTGGATGAAGGAACCCCTCTTTCTAACCACATCTCTTTCCCAGGCTCCACCAAAACAAACTGACTCACTGTGCCTGGCACCTTCTCTCACATGCGGCCTTTCCTGCATGACCCGGCCACCCCTCCACACAGGCTGCTCAGCGTCACTTCCTCTGAACTCCCAGCCCTCCCAAGGGACTGACATGTTGCTTCATATGGTAGCAGCCACACATGGTCCTGCTTAGATTCCCATCGCCAAGCAGCGTGGCTTCCAGCTCAGAAAGCCTAAAAGTGAAGATACAACTGAATTTGTGTACAGCGATGAAATAATACAATGTTCTCAGTAAAAAATTCCCTGACCTCCAGCTGGGGTTAGGCTTCCTGCACTAATATCTTGTCCTTTCTCCCCATATCCCTTCACAGAAGGGTAATTATTTGGTTGTGTGAATTTTGTTTAGCCTCGGACTTTCCCTCTAAACTGTAAGCCCCATGGCCTGAGAGGTGTTTACGTGATGTCTGGTACACAGCAGGCATTTAATACCTGATATGGTTTGGCTGTGTCCCCACCCAAATTTCATCTTGAATTGTAACTCCCACAATTCCCATGTGTTGTGGGAGGAACCCGGTGGGAGGTGATTGAATCATGGGGACAAGGTCTTTCCTGCACTGTTCTCATGATAGTGAATGAGTCTCATGAGATCTGATGGTTTTAAAAAGGGGAGACTTCCTTCATAAGCTCTCTTCTCTTGTCTGCTGCCATGTGAGACGTGCCTTTCACCTGCCATGATTGGGATGCCTCCCCGGCCACTTGGAATTATAAGTCCAGTAAACCTCTTTCTTTTGGAAATTGCCCAATCTCAGGTATGTCTTTATCAGCAGCGCAAAAACAGACTAATACGATACCTGTTTGTTGAATGAATGCATGAAGGAATGGATGAAAAGTCACATTTGTCTACCCTCAGAGGATGGCTTGCTTGAGAGAGACCCCCCTCAAAATCATGGCCTTTCCCAAGCAGAAAAGGCAATAGGTATGTTGGTCTGTATTGTTAGAAGTTAGTACTACTTCTAGCAAAATAGTATTGCTACACTGCCTTCTTTTTTTGAGACAGATTCTTACTCTGTCACCCAGGCTGGAGTGCAATGGCATGCTCTTGGCTCACTGCAACCTCTGCCTCCTGGGTTCAAGCAATTCTCCTGCCTTAGCCTCCTGAGTAGTTGGGACTACAGGCACCTGCCACCACACCCGGCTAATTTTTGTATTTTTAGTAGAGACGGGGTTTCACTATGTTGGCCAGGCTGGTCTCAATCTCCTAACCTCGTGATCCACTCACCTCGGCCTCCCAAAGTGCTGGGATTACAGGCGTGAGCCACCACGCCCGGTCTACGCTGCCTTCTTATTGCAAATCCACAGCCTTCAAGGAGCTGCACTCCCTTCCGACAGCAGCCCTGTAGGTGCATGGCAAAGCCTCTCGTTGGAAGCTGTCCTCATCCCAGGGAGCACATAAGAACTGACATGGGAGGAATGGCTACTGAATGGGAAAAATACAGCTTTTGTTTTCCACCTCCAGAGGATAACACAAGACCCAAATGTGTTGTAACATTGTCAAGACAACCCCAGGACATTCAGAAACTGAAATGCCACCATTTGAACCACTTTAACAGGTGCATCCTGAGTTATTATTGGGCGAACA
This sequence comes from Homo sapiens, assembly GCF_000001405.40. Classification (NCBI taxonomy): domain Eukaryota; kingdom Metazoa; phylum Chordata; class Mammalia; order Primates; family Hominidae; genus Homo; species Homo sapiens. Next base: position 7,917,159 of record NC_000006.12, read on the forward strand.
GTACTGCTTTTAGGAGGTACTGAAAGCATTTACATCCTGTTGTTCTAATTTGGTCAGAACACCTTGGTAGGTGCCTCTAAAGAAGAAGAAAAACTGTGTTTTTCTTGATGAGCTCATGTGACCATTCAAATGTGATTGTTGAGAGGTGGAGAAAAAGCTAGAGGATTGCTCTCATCAGAGAAAATCTAAAGAAAAAGACCAAAGTGAATTCCCAGGCTGGAGTCACACAGGGAGTAGAGCTGTTTTCAGTGTATTGAAATGGTTAATGGAAAGGTCATATTTACTCACTACTCTCACAAGCTCCTTGGGCAACACAGCCTACTAAACAATTAATAAGCACCAAAAACCCACATTACATTATAACATAACAGATTCGGGTATTTGGCAGATAAAAGCTTTCAAAATCCATGTGGGATCTGTGAGGTCTCGGGGGTAGGGGGGAGGAGAATAAAGAGAGTTTCTTTGTTGACTGGATCATGACCACTAAGCTGAATGATCTGTGCTGTTTCTCAAAGTGCACAGAACACTCACTCCAGCTCCCAGGAGCTCATTCAGTCTGTGCAAGTGCTGGCTCTTCTCGTTCATGCCCCTGTCATTCTCCCAGCTCTTTGTCTGCTAGATGCTATTACAGGAGTTCTTATTTTTCCCAGAGTCCCCAGGTGCGGGGCCGATAGGCTGATCCAGAAGCTGATGCTCACCAGCACCTGGACTTCATAACAGGAGAGAAGACTTCTCCCTGATGCAGGTTGCTCACTGAGTTGTTCCACTCCTCTCTCAGCTGCGCTGGCCTGCAGTGATGGCCTTGGCCTTGGATCTGTGGCATTCCACACGGGCATGGGGACATGCCTCTCACAGCACTTAGGGGCCAGCTCTTCATAGCTGCCTGAATTTCAGAACACTATTCCAAGTTCAGAATCCAGGAAAATGTTTATCCTACCTGGGGGTTCTCAATTCTGGCTGCACATTGCAATCATCTAGGTCTTGAAAGCAATACTGATGGCTTTGTCCTACTTCCTAGGGTTGAGAATTCCTGGGATTAGAGGAGACACAGCCAGGATCTCAGTCCCTGGTGCGCCTGTGGCGGACTGTAGCAGGGCTCTGAGAGCACAGATGTGGAGCAGACCACCAAAGGAACGCTGATGTTTGCTGGAAGTTAATAGGTGTTTTCTTAAGAGAAGAGCTCTGACTGAGACATGTTTGAGGAACACTTGGTTAGGGTTAGGGTTAGGAGATAGAGAAGCCAGGAACAATGCCCAAATTAGACCACAATACTGCTCAAATTAGATCACAATACTGCTCAAATTAGATCACAATACTGCCACCACTGCTACCACCTCGACATGCAGATTCCTCCTATCCCACCTCTGGTACAGGACACTATATGTGACCATGGGAACCTCTGCAACCGCTGCCCTGCAGGATGGACTTTGCATGACCCCTGCTTCTTCGCAAAACTAGCTTCCAATGGAAGCCTCACTGCAGTAGGGCTCAATGGTCTATGCTCTATCCTAACTTGTGGCGGTTAGGTCAGAGGCTCCACAAATGCAGGAAAGGTGTCCAGTGAAGCTGGGCAGCCTGAAAGAATGTCAACTGTTGATACATTGAGTCCTTTTTTTTTTTTTTTTTTGGAGACAGAATTTCACTCTATTTCTCAGGCTGGAGTGCAGTGGTGCAACCTTGACTCACTGCAACTTCTGTCTCCTGGATGCAAGCGATTCTCATGCCTCAGCCATTGAAATAGCTGGGATTACAGGCGCCCACCACCACACCAAGCTAATTTTTGTATTTTTAGTAGAGACAGGATTTCACCATGTTGGCCAGGCTGGCCTCAAACTCTTGGCCTCAGGTGATCTGCACACCTCAGCCTCCCAAAGTGCTGAGATTACAGGCATGAGCCACCACACCTGGCCAACACACTGTGCCTTGAAGACTACTTAAGAATTGGCTGGATGAAGTGCTAATGGAAGAAGAAAGAAAAAGATAGAAACCTATTTCCTAAATGATTTATCAGAGATTTTTATTTGCGATTGCACCATCTGAATTCCTAAAAGTATCCTATGCAGTATTTCCCAACTTATTTGATTGTGGACTCCTTTTTATTTGTGGTGTCTCTTGTGTTGTTAATCCTCTGCAGAACACTCTGTGAAGTATTATATATAGAAGCTTGGGTCGTATTTCACATGGAAGGATCAATGTCTGGTTTCCTTTGCTTATTATAGCTGCAACATCTCCTCTTCCATTGTGTGCATTTAATTGCAAGAGAATTCACTCAACAAATATTTATTGGATCTAGTCTGTGTCAGGCACGTTTTTAGGTGCTGAGGATCAGCAACAACTGAAATAGACAAAAACCCTAGTCCTAATGAACTTCCATTGTAGGTGGGGAAACAGCCAATACGTAAGATATAGAAGATAAACACTATGTTAGCCAGTGGTAGAAGCCCAGAAGAAAACAAGGCAAGGAAGGGGGTATGAAGTGTCAAGGTTCAGATGGGATGTCAGGGTTTGGATAGGCTTATTGGGGACATGGCTTTCAAGTAAAGACGTGAGGGAGTAACACATGTGAATATCTGGTTCCAGCCGAGGGATCAGCAACTGCAAAGGACTTAGAGCGAATGAATAAGAAGGCAGTACAGAATGAGAACACTGGCTTTTACGAATGAGAAGGGAAGTCATCGGAGGGTTTTCAGAAGAAACACGACAGGATCTGGCTTCCAATTATTTCTACAGCATGGCTCTGAGAGCTGTAGCGAGGAATGCGAAGGGGGCAAGGATAGAAGGGAGGCGACCACTCCGGGAGCAATTACAACCATCCCAGCACAAGATACTGGTGACTCACGCTAAGGCGGAGGTGGGAGGGTGATGAGAAGCAGGTTCCGGGTCTCTTTTGATGTATGTGCCAACAGGATTTGCTGACTCAGCAGATGTGGGCTGAGGGTGGTGAGAGAAAGAGAGGAGCTAAGGATGACACTGAGGCGTTCAGCCAGAGTGGCTAGGAGCACTGAGTTGTTATAATCTGAGATGGGAAACAGGTTTTGGGAAAGAGTTGCTCAATGTTGAACATACTACAATGGGGAAGTCTGCAGATACACAGAGTGGGCAGATGGCTATTCAAGTCCAGGGCAGAGATGCAGGCCAGATATAAATTTGAGAGTCGTTAGCATTTGATGGTATTTAAAGCCCTGGGACAGGAGGAGATCCCTGTGGGAGTGAGTGCAGAGGAGGGAAGAGGTTTAAGGGCTGAGTCCTGGGGCATCTCACTGTTTTGAAGACCAGGAGATTAGGAGGAATGGGCAAAAGAGACTGGCATGGAGTAGTCAGGAAGGCAGGAAGAAAACCTGATTACTGCTGTCCACAGGCCCAGAGTAGAAATGTTTCAAAAGACGGAAGGAAAAGCTGTTTTGAATCTGCTGATATATCATGGTTTGCCCCCAGACAATCCCAGTTTACACCTACTGACATGATCTAGTCATTACTCACAGCCATTCCCCCTCCCACGTGTCTCAGTTTGGAAGGTACATTGACAGGGCATCCTGCTGACAGTTCAGGTGTAATGATCCCTAAGCACTCACCTTTAGATTTGGAGACTTTGGTAATAGTAGTTTTGGTGAACAGGTGGTAGTAAAAACCCAACTGGAGTGGCTTCAAGAGGGAGAAGAAAGGAATTACAAACAATGAATGTGAACAACTCTTCAGGAGAACTTGTCACATAAAGCAAAGGAAAAGAATACAATAGTAACTAAAGGAGAGAGAGGGGCCCAGAGGGTTTTGTTGTTGTTGTTTTTAACATGAAAGACAAGTCAACATGGTTGATTGTTTGATGATCCAGAAATAAAGAAAACATTGGTTGCCACAGGAGACAGAGGGAGAATTTCTGGAGTAGTGGCCTGAGGGAGTGCAGGAGGATGTTGCCTATGAGTAGGGGCAGACGTTGGCTTTCCAAGGAGCCCCAGTGGTTGTCTGTGATAAGAGGAGGGCAGGCACAGTGGGTGGGCACAGATCCAGAGAGGTGGGTCCAGGTGGCTAATGGTGGGAGCTGGCACCTGTCCCCTCCAGTGGCTTCTGTTTTCCACTGTAATAGAAAGCAGTATCATGGGCTGACACTGAAGATAGGGGAAGTGCTGGAGGTTTGGGGAGGGCAGTGAAGGTCTGAAATAGAGGTCACAGTGAGAACGGGAGAGGGAAAACAAGGCAGTTTGGTATTAATGCCTGGTGGCCTTGAGGCTCCACTTGATGTCAATTTGACATACCCGGATTTTCTCCAGGTACGTTCTGCTGTGTGGTTCAGTCACACAGTAGACAGTTGGATTTAGTCAGGCCTATGATTTAGCTAAGTGAGGAAACAAAGGCAGAGGGCGGCAACAGAGCGAGAGTGTATGTAGGGGAGAAATGATAACACTTGACTATGGAATTTAAGCAGGGGAAATTATAAAACATTTATCTTAAGAAGTTGTAATACTCAGCCTTGTATACACACAGTACACAAGTTCGTTATCTCTTTGACATGTTGATAACTTCCAGTGGGTCACGTGTCAGTTCATTTATTGAGAAGTCCTATTCCACGCCTTCCTCTCTATGTCTAATATGGCCATGTGGCTCAGGCCTTCACCTCCTCCTTCACGGATTATCTCCACAGAGTCTTGGCCATGACTCCTGATTCCATGTGCTCCCATCCAAACAATGTGCAATTGTTTTGGCCAGGATCATCTTGAGACAACAGCTTTATCATCTCACTGCTCTGTCCCAAAATAAAGAATAGCTCTGTATTTCCAATTATATCATATCACAAGTCCTCTGCCCGGCTTCTGTAGCTCCCTCTACTTTTGCAAACTTGTCTCTGACATTGCATAACTCTGCTCCAGACAGGCTTGCTTTCCTATTGTCCCTGCCACATGTTGTATCATTTCCAACTCTCTTCCTTTGCTCATGCTGTGCTTTCTGCTTGAAATGCTCTCCTCTCTGCTTTCAAAATCCTATCCATTATACATGGCAGACAGCAATAGTGGTTGGTACAGGAGGAGAGGTAGGATTGGAGTGGGCCAGGAGTAAAGACACACAGAGACATATATATATATATATATATATATATATATATATATATATATATATATATGTATCTATCTATATATATGTATATATACATATACATACACACACACACACACACACACACACACACATATATATATATACACATTGACCCTTGAACGATGTGGGAGTTAGGGGCATTGACCCCCACACACTCGAAAGTCCATGTATAACTTTTGACTCCCCAAAATGTAACTACTAATAGCCTAATATTGATCAGAAGCCTTACAGTTAACATAAACAGTCAAATAACACACATTTTGTAGGTTACATGTGTTATATACTGTATTCTTCCAATAAAGTAAGCCAGAGAAAAGAAAATATTAAGAAAATCATACAGAAGGAAAACACATTTGCACCACTGTGCTGTATTTATCAATACCGTAAGTTTATGTCATCTGTTTACAAGATGCCTCATCTGTCTGAAATGGCAGCAACCACAGCTGCAGACCTCAGTGCATATCAAACAATTCAACTTTTTTCTTGTAATGTCATGACTTTTCTCTGCTTCCTGGGAACCCTTCCAGCATCCCTAGTGGTGCTTTGTATGGGTCCCCTGGTATTATTCCAGGTTTTGGTATTGCAACAAACACAATGAAAAATACATGAGAACCATAAGATCACTTTTTGCTGTGATATGCAATTTCCTGAAGAGAGGAACTGCTTGAAGGGAGATGATGAGCATCACACAGCATTTGAAGCTGATACTCACAACACTTGAGCTCACTGCAATAGCTACAGGAGGTGGCTGCAAAATTATTATAGTAGTACAGTACATGCTACAGTTAATTTAATGCAGTTATGATTTAATACTGCATCTTTCTGTTTGTTTATATGTCTCTTGACTGAGAATGGTGCCATGTATGGTCTGTAAGTGTTTACATGCATGAGTTTTGATATATTTTAACTTTTTATAATAGCTTTGTGTATATTTTATGGTAGTAAATGATAAAATAGAATCTACATATATTTTATATATTCGTGACATACCTAGTTTTTTCTTAATTGTTAAGCATTTCTAGGTTATGTGCATATAACTAACATTTACATTTGAATTTTTGCAATAAGCTTGTCTTCATACCACTTCTGTAATTTTGTCATTGAAGAGTTTAAATGTAATTTTTAAAGGACTCTTCCTAGTTGCTATTTGGCAGTAGGTATTTTAAATTTATATAAGTATACCTTTTGACCCAGCAATAGGTCCAGGACCTTATCCTTGGGAGATAACTTCACAATTTCATTGCAGCATTGTTTATAATAGCAAACCATGGGAAGCAAACTGCTACCCCTCAGGAAAGCACTGAGTAAATTAAAAATGACATAGGTAGACCATGTGCAACATGCACAGTGGTGTATTTTAGTGGTTCATGGTGCAGCCTCTGCCATCAGACTACTGAGAGGCTTGAATGTCAGCACTACTCCTTCTGGCTGTATAACTTCAGGTGATTAAAATGTTCTGTGCTTAAATTTCTTCATCGGTTAGAGACTTTAGGGATTTTTTTTTTTTTGTAAAGAAGAGATAAACTATTTGAAACCATGTCTGGTTCCATGTAGAGTGTAGAAAGCAGGAAAAATTATTCCCCTACCCTAATAACAGAAAAATAAACTACAAACAAAACAAAACAAAAAGACCGGATATACTACAACACGATAACTTTTCATGAACTCATCAAAGAGCTGAGGGCATGGGGCAACCAAATATCCTTAAATCCAAGAAAAGTCAGGCTTCTCCAAGGAAAGATGGAGCACCCTCACTGATTTCTCTGTAGCAGAGACCAGGAGGAAGAGATGCTGGGACTGTACAAGTGGGTAAGAAGAATTTGGCTAAACTTTACGATTAAGAGCAAAAGCCAAGTGTGGGCTGGCACAAGAGTATAGCACCCCTGAGAACTCCACACACAAAGGGAGTTTGCACTCACATTCAGGACCTTCTACTGGGCCTCCACTGGATGCTCATGAGAAAGTCTGGAAGCAGAGCAATGAGACCAAGGGAACCTCCTTTGGTGGTGTGGACCTGAAGAATGGGAGTGGTTGTTGTTGTAGGAAATTCACAAAATCCTGACTGAACTCTCTTCTCCTATAAATATAGTTTAGGTTTCCAGGGCACTGGCAAAGTTGGGGGAGCTTGGAAAAAGGTAAAAAGAAAAGAAGTAACATCCTCTACCCCTGGAGAAGGGGAAGGAAAGAGTTCTGGGTCAAGGATCATATATATGACAATATGAATAGGGGTCTCCAACATGTGGGGGAGGGGCGAGGAACTGTCCTATTCAAGACCCAGCACAGATATGAGGCAGTTTGGCAGTCACTGGGAAGAAGAGCAGGATCACTGAGAAAGTCCCATTCCTAAGACCTAGGCAGACAGACTTGCCTAAGACTGAAGCTGGATCTGGACAAGAGAGAATCTCCCTTCCCTGTCTCCACCACCAAGCAAGCACCAAGTAACGAGCAACAGCAGTCTACTTCTGGGGAGAAGGCAAGAGCATGGAGATAGGCCTCCCAGTCTTTGTCACAGACAAACTGGTAAGACTGAAAATTGAGGGTGAAGCAGGAGCTCTGAGAAAAATATCCTGGAACCCCAGCCTCCACCCTAAGCACAAAGTAATGCTAGAAAAATTAAAGTCAGTGATGTACTGAAGGTCACCATAGCAACAACAAAATTCAAACCCACCTCAATTACTAAGTAGGTTTACTCAGGAGGATGTAATATCTCATAATATAGCATTGCCAACACTAATAGGCTAGCACAGGAGGCATGCCCATTTGCAGAAATAAATACTATTTACCATAGTGTTGGTTTTTCTATACCTGATGCCCAACATTCAATCAAAAATTAGAAGACATACATGGAAAACAAGATAAAAACAACCAAAGTCAAGAGACAATGCAATCAACACAACCAGACTCAGGAAGAACCCAGATATTAAAGCTATCAGATGAGGAATTTAAAATAACTATAATTCATATGTTAGATGCTCTAGGGGGAAAGTGTCAGCATGCATTAAGAGATGAACATTTTCAGCAAATAGATGGAAACTGTAAGAAAAAGTCAAATGAAAATACTAGGGGATTTAAAAAATATATTAAAAACACTTTTTTAAAAAAGAAAATACTAGGGGAAAGAAAACCATTGTGACTTAGCTGACTCTTCAGTACACTTGAGAGAACCAAGAAAAGAATCAATAAACTTGAAGATAGGATATTAGAAATTACCCAACCAAAACACAGAGAAAACAGTTAAAAACACACACACACACACACACACACACAGAACATTGAAGAGCTGTGGAACAATATCAAACGATCTAACAATGAGTGGTTACAATCCCAGAAGAGAGATATAATTGTTCAAAGAAATATTTACAAGGAAATTTTCAAAATTAACAAAATACATCAAACCACAGATCCAAGGAGTTCAGAGAATCCCAAGCAGAAAAATGACAAACAAATAACAACAGCAGCAAGACGGCTGAATAGGAACAGCTCCAGTCTGCAGCTCCCAGCGTGATCGACGCAGAAGATGGGTTATTTCTGCAATTGCAGCTGAGGTACCTGGTTCATCTCATTGAGACTGGTTGGACAGTGGGTGCAGCCAACGGAGGGCGAGCTGAAGCAGGGTGGGGCATCACCTCACCTGGAAGTGCAAGGGGTTGGGGGATTTCCCTTTCCTAGCCAAGGGAAGCTGTGACAGACTACCTGGAAAAACAGGACACTCCCGCCCAAATACCGTGCTTTTCCAATGGTCTTAGCAAACGGCACACCAGGAGATTATATCCTGCGCCTGGCTTGGTGCGTCCCACACCCACAGAGCCTTGCTTACTGCTAGCACAGAGTCTGAGTTGGAACTGCGAGGCTGCAGCCTGGCTGGGGGAGGGGCATCTGCCATTGCTGAGGCTTGAGTAGGTAAGAAAAAGTCAAATGAAAAGTGGCTGGGAAGCTTGAACTGGGCGGAGACCACCACAGCTCAACAAGGCCTACTGCCTCTAGACTCTACCTCTGTGGGCAGGGCATAGCTGAACAAAAGGCAGCAGACAACTTCTGCAGACTTAAACGTCCCTGTCTCACAGCTCTGAAGAGAGCAGTGTTCTCCCAGCATGGCGTTTGAGTTCTGAGAATGGACAGACTGCCTCCTCAAGTGGGTCCCTGACCCCCGTGTAGCCTAACTGGGAGACACACCTCCCAGTAGGGCCTGACAGATACCTCATATAGGCGGCTGCCCCTCTGGGATGAAGCTTCCAGAGGAAGGATCAGGCAGCAATATTTGCTGTTCTGCAGCCTCCACTTGTGATACCCAGGATGGACCTCCAGCAAACTCCAACAGACCTGCAGCTGAGGGACCTGACTATTAGAAGGAAAACTAACAAACAGAAAAGAATAGCATCAACATCAACAAAAAGGTCTTCTACACCAGAACTCCATCTGTAGGTCACCAACATCAAAGACCAAAGGTAGATAAAACCACAAACATGGGGAGAAACCAGAACAGAAAAGCTGAAAATTCTAAAATCAGAGTGCCTCTTCTCCTCCAAAGGATCGCAGCTCCTCACCAGCAACGGAACAAAGCTGGACGGAGAATGACTTTGATGAGTTGACAGAAGTAGGCTTCAGAAGGTCGGTAATAACAAACTCCTCCAAGCTAAAGGAGGATGTTCGAACCCATTGCAAGGAAGCTAAAAATCTTGAAAAAAGATTACATGAATGGCTAACTAGAATCAACAGTGTAGAGAAGACCTTAAATGACCTGAAGCTGAAATCCATGGCACGAGAACTTCATGACACATGCACAAGCTTCAATAGCCGATTTGATCAAGTGGAAGAAAGGGTGTCAGCGATTGAGGATCAAACCAATGAAATAAAGTGAGAAGACAGGTTAGAGAAAAAAGAGTAAAAAGAAACAAACCAAGCCTCCAAGAAATATGGGACTATGTGAGAAGACCAAATCTACATTTGATTGGTGTACCTGAAAGTAATGGGGAGAATGGAACCAAGTTGGAAAACACTCTGCAGGATATTATCCAGGAGAACTTCCCCAACCTAGCAAGGCAGGCCAACATTCAAATTCAGGAAATACGGAGAACACCACAAAGATACTCCTCGAGAAAAGCAACCCCAAGACACATAATTGTCAGATTCACCAAGGTTGAAATGAAGGAAAAAGTGTTAAGGGCAGCCAGAGAGAAAGGTCAGGTTACCCACAAAGGGAAGCCCATCAGACTAACAGCTGATCTCTTGGCAGAAACTCTACAAGCCAGAAGAGAGTGGGGGCCAATATTCAACATTCTTAAAGAAAAGAATTTTCAACCCAGAATTTCATATCTAGCCAAACTAAGCTTCATAAATGAAGGATAAATAAAATCCTTTACAGACAAGCAAATGCTGAGGATTTTGTCACCACCAGGCCTGCCTTACAAGGGCTCCTAAAGGAAGCACTAAACATGGAAAGAAACAATTGGTACCAGCCACTGCAAAAACATGCCAAATTGTAAAGACCATTGATGCTATGAAGAAACTGCGTCAATTAACAGGCAAAATAACCAGTGAACATCATAATGACAGGATAGACTTCACACATAACAATATTAACCTTAAATGTAAATGGGCTAAATGCTCCAATTAAAAGACACAGACTGGCAAATTGAATAAAGAGTCAAGACCCATCAGTGTGCTGTATTCAGGACACCCATCTCACGTGCAAAGACGCACGTAGGCTCAAAATAAAGGAATGGAGGAAGATCTACCAAGCAAATGGAAAGCAAAAAAAAAAAAAAAAAAAAAAAGGAGGGGTTGCAATCCTAGTCTCTGATAAAACAGACTTTCAACCAACAAAGATCAAAAGAGACAAAGAAGGCCATTACATAATGGTAAAGGGATCAATTCAACAAAAAGTTAACTATCCTAAATATATATGCACCCAATACAGGAGCACCCAGATTCATAAAGCAAGTTCTGATAGACCTACAAAGAGACTTAGACTCCCACACAATAATAATGGGAGACTTTAACACCCCACTGTCAATATTAAACAGATCAATAAGACAGAAGGTTAACAAGGATATCCAGGACCTGAACTCAGCTCTGCAACAAGCAGACCTAATAGACATCTACAGACTCTCCACCCCAAATTAACAGAATGTACATTCTTCTCAGCACCACATCACACTTATTCTAAAACTGACCACATAGTTGGAAGTAAAGCACTCCTCAGCAAACGTAAAAGAACAGAAATCACAACAAACTGTCTCTCAGACCACAGTGCAATCAAATTAGAACTCAGGATTAAGAAACTCACTCAAAACTGCACAACTACATGGAAACTGAACAACTTGCTCCTGAATGACTACTGGGTAAATAACAAAATGAAGACAGAAATAAAGATGTTCTTTGAAACCAATGAGAACAAAGACACAACATACCAGAATCTCTGGGACATATTTAAAGCAGTGTGTAGAGGGAAATGTATAGCACTAAATGCCTACAAGAGAAAGCAGGAAAGATCTAAAATTGACATCCTAACATAACAATTAAAAGGACTAGAGAGGCAAGAGCAAACAAATTCAAAAGCTAGCAGAAGGCAAGATATAACTAAGATCAGTGCAGAACTGAAAGAGATAGAAACACAGAAAACCCTTCAAAAAATTAATGAATTCAGGAGCCGGTTTTTTAAAAAGATCAACAAAATTGATAAAACGCTAGCAAGACTAATAAAGAAGAAAAGAGAGAAGAATCAAACAGACGCAATAAAAAATGATAAAAGGGATATCACCACCGATCCCACAGAAATACAAACTACCATCAGAGAATACTATAAACACCTCTATGCAAATAAACTAGAAAATCTGGAAGAAATGGATAAATTCCTGGACACATACACCCTCCCAAGACTAAACCAGGAAGAAGCTGAATCTCTGAATAGAACAATAACAGGCTCTGAAATTGAGGCAATAATTAATAGCCTACCAACCAAAAAAAGTCCAGGACCAGATGGATTCACAGCTGAATTCTACCAGAGGTACAAAGAGGAGCTGATACCATTCCTTCTGAAACTATTACAATCAATAGAAAAAGAGAGAATCCTCCTTAACTCACTTTATGAGGCCAACATCATCCTGATACCAAAGACTGGCAGAGACACAACAAAAAAAGAGAATTTTACACCAATATCCCTGATGAACATCAATGCGAAAATCCTCAATAAAATACTGGCAAACAGAATCCAGCAGCACATCAAAAAGCTTATCCACCATGATCAAGTTGCTTCATCCCTGGGATGCAAGGCTGGTTCAACATATGCAAATCAATAAACATAATCTATCACATAAACAGAACCAATGCCAAAAACCACATGATTGTCTCAATAGATGCAGAGAAGGCCTTCAACAAAATTCAACAGCCCTTCATGCTAAAAACTCTCAATAAACTAGGTATTGATGGGACACATCTCAAAATAATAAGAGCTATTTATGACAAACCCACAGCCAATATCATACTGAAAGGGCAAAAACTGGAAGCATTCCCTTTGAAAACTGGCACAAGACAGGGATGCCCTCTCTCACTGCTCCTACTCAACATAGTGTTGGAAATTCTGGCCAGGGCAATCAGGCAAGAGAAAGAAATAAAGGGTATTCAATTAGGAAATGAGGAAGTCAAATTGTCCCTGTTTGCAGATGACATGATTGTATATTTAGAAAACCCCAAAATCTCCTTAAGCTGATAAGCAACTTCAGCAAAGTCTCAGGATACAAAATCAATGTGCAAAAGTCACAAGCATTCATATCCACCATTAACAGACAGAGAGCCAAATCATGAGTGAACTCCCATTCACAATTGCTACAAAGAGAATAAAATACCTAGGAATCCAACTTACAAGGGATGTGAAGAACCTCTTCAAGGAGAAATAAAAACCACTGCTCAATGAAATAAAAGAGGACACAAACAAATGGAAGAATATTCCATGCTCACGGATAGGAAGAAACAATATCATGAAAATGGCCATACTGCCCAAAGTAATTTATAGATTAAATGCCATCCCCATCAAGCTACCAATGACTTTCTTCACAGAATTGGAAAAAACTACTTTAAACTTCATATGGAACCAAAAAAGAGCCCGCATTGCCAAGACAATTCTATGCACAAAGAATGAAGCTGGAGGCATCACGCTACCTGACTTCAAACTATACTACAAGGCTGCAGTAACCAAAACAGCATGGTACTGGTACCAAAACAGATATATAGACCAATGGAACAGAACAGAGGCCTCAGAAATATTGCCACACATCTACAACCATCTGATCTTTGACAAACCTGACAAAAACAAGCAATATGGAAAGGATTCCCTATTTAATAAATGGTGCTGGGAAAACTGGCTAGCCATATGTAGGAAGCTGAAACTGGATCCCTTCCTTACACCTTATACAAAAATTAATTCAAGATGGATTAAAGACTTAAGTGTTAGACTTAAAACCATAAAAACCCTAGAAGAAAACCTAGGCAATACCATTCAGGACATAAGCATGGGCAAGGACTTCATGACTAAAACACCAAAAGCAATGGCAACAAAAGCCAAAATTGACAAATGGGATCTAATTAAACTAAAGAGCTTCTGCGCAGCAAAAGAAACTACCATCAGAGTGAACAGGCAACCTACAGAATGGGAGAAAAATTTTGCAATCTACCCATCTGACAAAGGGCTAATATCCAGAATCTACAAAGAACTCAAACAAATTTACAAGAGAAAAACAAACAACGCCATCAAAAAGTGGGCAAAGGATATGAACAGACACTTCTCAAAAGAAGACATCTATGCAGCCAACAGACGCATGAAAAATGCTCATCATCACTGGTCATCAGAGAAGTGCAAATCAAAACCACAATGAGATACCATCTCACACCAGTTAGAATGGCAATCATTAAAAAGTCAGGAAACAGCAGATGCTGGAGAGGATGTGGAGAAATAGGAATGGTTTTACACTGTTAGTGGGAGTGTAAATTAGTTCAACCATTGTGGAAGGCAGTGTGGCGATTCCTCAAGGATCTAGAACTAGAATTACCATTTGACCCAGCAATCTAATTACTTGGTATATATCCAAAGGATTATAAATCATGCTACTATAAAGACACATGCACATGTATGTTTATTGTGGGACTATTCACAATAGCACAGACTTGGAACCAACCCAAATGTCCATCAATGATAGACTGGATTAAGAAAATGTGGCACATACCCACCATGGAATACTATGCAGCCATAAAAAAAGATGAGTTCATGTCCTGTGCAGGGACATGGATGAAGCTGGAAACCATCATTCTCAGCAAACTATCACAAGGACAGAAAACCAAACACTGCATGTGCTCACTCGTAGGTGGGAACTGAACAATGAGAACACATGGACACAGGAAGGGGAACATCACACACCAGGGTCTGTCAGGGCGGTGGGGTGCTGGGGGAGGGATAGCATTAGGAGAAATACCTAATGTAAATGACGAGTTAATGGGTGTAGCACACCAACATGGCACATGTATACCTATGTATCAAACCTGTACGTTGTACACATGTACCCTAGAACTTAAAGTATATATACAAAAAAAAAGGCTTAGGGTAAAGTAAAAAAATAAATAAATAACAACAACAACAAAATATATACCTAGGCACATCTTATTCAATAGGTAGGTTTTAAAAATGTATGCATAGCATGGTGTCATTTGTAAAAACTAATTGGTCTGTGTTTTGGAAAGATGATCATCAGAACATTTACAATGATTCTTTGTGTATAATGATTCTTTGTGTGTAATGATGTTTCTGCTTTGTATTTTCTATTTTCTTTATATTAAAGATGAGTAATAAAACTATTTTCAGTGACAAAAATCTGCCTACTTCTTTGAATAGGGAGAGTTTATCCCATTTACATTTGTTTTCACAAATAATGTGTTCTGATTCATTCTTCATTTTTTATTTCTTTATTTTTTATATTATATAAATTTTCTTCCTTTGAAATAGTTTTTTATATAGCTAATTTGTAATTTGGCATCATTCACCTTTAAAAGCTTCAAGAACATCATTGAATATATATGTCTACCAATTCCAAGAATACAACATCCCAAGATTAAGAACTCTATTGAATATCTTTGAACTAGACGACACAATAGGCTCATTTTATTTCCTGTCACCTACCCTTTCTTCCTCTCTGTTTATGTTAGATTTTGGACAATATTTATTTTCAAGTTACTATTTTATGTTATTGTGAAGTAGGTTCACTGTGCACTGGTTCCCAACTTGCCTGAGTCCAGTGAGACAGAACATGCTCACATGCAGCAAGTTATACGAAGTGAGTTTATTACTTGCAGATAGGCAGCAAGAGGCAACATAAGCCTAGGCTCCCTTGTGAGCTGGTCTCCCAGGGCTCAGGAAAGCTGCTTGGAGAGATGGAGTCTTGAAGCTACATGCTTCACTTGCACCGCAGCTGAGGGGCCCTGAAAGGCAGCCCTCCCTGGATTATATATCTCAGGGGCAATGTGTCATACTAGGCTAAAGCTTTGAAAGACATCCTGCTTCTAGGGAGAGAGGCACAAAGCCTGGGCTGTCCTGGGCAGTTCCTCCATAACTCAAGGTGTTACAGTCTCTAGGAGGGACAGGAGCAAGGCCCAGGCTGCTTCAGGCAGTTCCCTCCATCTCAGAATACTGCATTCTCAGCACATTCTACAATTATTCTTGAGAACCATAAGCAAAAAGCGAAGAAGGTTGGGTTAATCCAAAGCCACCAGAAGAATTGCCCTGCAATTATATTAACATACATGTAGACCTTCAATATACATTTATTAATATTTGATTCTATGGTTACTTAAGTTAAATGTTCACTACAGTCCTCAACTATGACTTCACTGTTTTGAGGGTTTTACAGTGTGATTAATTACTTGGTTTACTACAGCAGTCCTTCTCAAACCTTAATATGCATATAAATCACATGGAGATCTTGATAGATTGCAGGTTCTGATTCATAGGTCTGGGGTGAAGCCTGAGTTTCTGGTTTTCTAACAAGCTCCCAGGTGATGAGATGCTGTTGCGCCGTGGTCCACAGTTTGAGCAGCAAGAGGTTACTTCTCTGAGAGCTCTTCCCTCCATGAATAATACATGGACTATTTATTCATGAGCCCTTGAATCTTTGAAAAGCTTTCTCTGTTCTTGACAGGTGAAAACCAGCTTGGCTATGTAAGGAACTTTGGGTCACAAAGTTTCTCCCTCAGAATTCTACAAATGTTGGTTGCTTCACTGATTTTAGCATCTATATTATTTGAGACCAATCTATATTTCCCTTTCCAATCTCTCTCTCTCTTTTTTTTTTTTTTTTTTGGTGTATGACCTTGTTTCAGGATGTTCTTTATTTATAAATAAATTTCAACTTTGATCAGGGTATGTTCAGTGTTTGACTCTCTTCATTTTGCCCAGTACCCAGTGAGCTATTTTAATGGAAATATTTAGGTTTCTAGGACTTTTATATGTCTTTAAATATTAATTTTTATTCCATTTGTTCTGGTGTTTTCTTCATAAATACCAATTATCCACATGTTTTATCTCCATCATATGGCCATGAAATACCCCATATTCTTTTCTCCTTTTTTTGGCATTAGTTTTTTGCATTATGGCATATATTTTTTTTCTCTGGGCTCTCTTCTGTATGACTGAAATAGTTCTTGGCAGGGTTGATTCTGCTCTACTGGTTCTGATGCATTTTGAAACTTTAGTGTTATCTGTACAGCTCTAAAACACTTCTTCAGTGCCCCCTTACTTCCCTTTATGGTTCTGCTTACGTCTCAACTGAATCTTCTGTTGACATGTCCTCTCACGGTTCATCTTACTTTAGGGAGATCATATTTCTAGAATGCCGTGGAGAGTAAAAAGCAGATGCTGTCTGAAATTTATTTTTTGCCAACAATATTTTTCAAAAATAGACTTCAAAAATATTTCAAAAATATTCCAGGAGTCTGGAATCTCTGAATCTTACTGGTGGGATGTCATGATAAAGAATCTTTTCCTAGACACCATGTTAGTTTTGTTCTTGCTTACTGATTATCGTTAATCCGTCGATCCGTTTGAGGACAGCGGACAGCATTTGAGCCACAGGCTGTGCCGCGTAGGGAACTTTGTGTCATTGCCCCTCTGTTCATAGTGAAGCCACTCTGCCTAGTAGCAGGCTTGTTGTGGCCAGGCCTCCAATCTGGCACATATGTATCTACCTGTTCAGCCTCGTTTTTCTATATAGCTTTCACTGTGTCAACAAAGACTGGCCTTTCTGTGAGCCCCCATCCAGGGATGCTGCTCCCACCAGGACCAGCAGCTTCTTGTTCAGTGTGGGGGGTCCTCTCTCTGCAGCCTCCCGCACAGTTTTACCAGGCTGCTCATCACCACAGTTAGGATCATCTTTACACTGGGAAAAGCGTAAGTTCCTCTCCCCAGAGCCACAGAACCACAGTTCTTCACTAATTGCAGTCATCTGGACCTCTGAGTTCCTGCATTGACCCCCAAAACAGGGATCCTGGCAGTCCACATACCTAGACTCCCTTCACCTGGAGCTTTCCAGGTATCTTAGTTCATTCGGGCTGCTGTAACAATACCACCAGACTGGGTGGCTTAGAAACAACAGAAAGTTATTGCTCACAGTTTTGGAGGCTGGGAAGTCCAAGGTCAAGGTGCTGGTAGATTCAGTTTCTAGGGAGGTCTTCTTGCTGTTTCACAGATGGTGCCTTCTTACTGTGTCCTCACATAGTGAAAAGGGGAAGGCAGCTCTCTGGCCTCTATTATAAGGGCACTAATCCCATTCACAAGCACTCCACCCTCATGATCTCACCACCTCCCAAAGACTCACCTCCTAATACCAGCACACTGGTGATTAGGTTTCAACATATGAATTTGGTAGGGACACAAACATTCAGACCATAGCCCCAGGTGAGTTTCGCAGCCCACTCTTTCCTCCAGAACTCTGCCCTCCAAGCCTAGAGATTCACAGGGAACAGAACTTTGCCCATCACTTCCCGGGAGGCTGTGTCATCCCTCAAGGTGGGACTTCTTTCTGCCGTTTTAATGATTTTCTTCCTTAGATTTCTGTATAAGTAGAGGCTTTTGCTAAATTTACTTTTCTTAGGTTATTTATGTAGAATTGGTTGTGGAATTAGTGTTTAGAAATAAATTGTGTCCCCAACCCAAACATCTTTACCTGAGAGACCAGAACATCTTTTTCAAATGAAAGAGCAGGCCGGGCATGGTGGCTCATGCCTGTAATCCCAGCACTTTGGGAGGCCAAGGCAGGTGGATTGCCTGAGGTCAGGAGTTCAAGACCAGTCTGGCCAACACAGTGAAACCCCATCTCTACTAAAAATACAAAAAAATTAGACAGGCGTGGTGGCATGCACCTGTAATCCCAGCTACTCGGGAGGCTGGGGCAGGGGAATTGCTTGAGCCAGGGGGGTGGAGGTTGCAGTGAGCCAAGATTGTGCCACTGCACTCCAGCCTGGGTGACACAATGAGACTCTGTCTCAAAATGAAAAAGTAAAAAAGCATAATTATCTTAGGTGTGGTGATTACAACGGTTTTTTTTCCCTTCCTTTTCTCTTAAACTATATGAACCTTCCAAATTGCACATTCTAAACCTGAAAATTTAGAATTTTTATTATTTTTGCATTGTAGAGTATATGGACTGTAAACTGGACACTGCCTTCACAATTAATCTATTTGTAAATTTATTTGCTTTAAATTAAGAAGTTTGAGCAAACTTTAATACCTTCACTAACCAGTGAAAGACTCCACAGTCCCTATTGTATTTTATTTAATAAATAGCTGATTTAGAAATATCCTACCACTTATTATATGTACACTAATTCAGAGTAAATTAACACCTGTCTCTGAAAAAAGGCAACTTCTCAGTGCTTGACATTCAAATGTCTAAAGATGCATCAGTTTATTCCTTTTTACTTCCGAAGGATACTGCATCACTCAACACATCTATTTCACTTAATGCACATATCCAAACTTTCTTTGTTTGAGTCAAAATTTCTGGTACCAAAGACAATAAAATTAATTTCAAAGTTACTTATAAACAGAATCTCTTATGAAAAACTTACAAAAATATTTTTAAAAATTTAACAAGTATATTTTCTCTTCTTCTCTCTTTGCTGTTTAGTGAAGTTATAACTCCATAGAAATAAAAATCTTTTTTTAGAGAATTTTAGTCCATATTTCTTTTTTTCTTTTTCTTTCTTTCTTTCTTTCTTTTTTTTTTTTTTTGAGACAGAGTTTCTCTCTTGTTGCCCAGGCTAGAGTACAATGGTGCAGTCTCGGCTCACTGCAACCTCTGCCTCCTGGGTTCAAGTGATTCTCCTGCCTTAGCCTCCCAAATAGCTGGTATTCCAGGTGCCCACCACCACGCCCAACTAATTTTTGTATTTTTAGTAGAGACAGATTTCCATCAGCTGGCCAGGCTGGTCTCAAACTCCTGACCTCAGATGATCCGCCACTGGTCTCCTGAAGTCCTAGGATTACAGGTATGAGCCACCGCACCCAGCCTTTATTCCATATTTCATCTCCTGTGGCTATGTCTTTGTTATCTTCTTTATCTTCTCTTTTTAATCCATATGTGTAAACATAAAAGGTTAAGAAACTTTAACAACTGATTGCATTCAGGTAACAAAATCAATGTAATATCCTAAGTCTTCAGACTTACTAATAATGGGAGAACTGTGAAGCCAAGTTCATAAAAAATCAGGTCTTGGATACCTAGTATTTACTCAGTTGTGCCTCCTTGCTCAGTGTTTAAACACAGAAGAATCTACAGCCTCACACACCTAGGTCAGACATAATATAAAATATACCACATGCATTTAATGATGGACAAACCTCAGTGATGTAAGTATAATTTTTCTGCTCAATTAAAAAAACTCTCTGCAATTTTTCATAAACATAAATGTGATTTTTGTTGCTCCAGCCAAACCCTGACACCCACAGCAGCAACCTCCCTTTTGTATCAAAGGAAGAGTCGTGGGGTTCTGAGGTGTGTTGTGTTGCTATGTTCAGCCGAGCAGCTCCAGGGACCCCACCAGAAAGAGCTACTCGTCGGCAGTGGTAGCAGCTACCACTGCTCACATCTGTGTCACTGAGGCTGGAGTCTGGAATTTCTGAGTTACAGGGCTGTCTCTGCCAAAGACTTGCTGGCAAAGTTTTTTGTCTGCAAAATAGACACAATAATGAGGACCTCATAAGGACTTTAAGAAGTGCCCTACACCCTGGAAACTTCTGTTGGCAGAAGTGAAGGGAGAAATTAACTCTTCCCCTAGGAAAAAAAATTTTCCATAGCAGTTCTAAACTTTGTCCCTTGTGTAGGACGATAAGCAGTTTTTAAATGCAAATAAGGCTAGTGATGGAATTTTACAGTCGAGCTCTAAAGACAAACCCAAATGGTGTCATCCTTGATATTCTTTTTTTTTTTTTTTAATTGAGACAGAGTCTCACTCTGTTGCCCAGGCTGGAGTGCAGTGGTGCAATCCCGGCTCACTGCAACCTCCGCCTCCCAGGTTCAAGAAATTCTTCTGCCTCAGCTTCCAGAGTAGCTGGAATTACAGGTGCGCACCACCACACCAGGCTAATTTTTTTATTTTTAGTAGAGACGGGGTTTCAACATGTTGGCCAGGCTGGTCTGGAACTCAAATGATCCGCTGGCCTCAGCCTCCCAAAGTTGCTGGATTACAGGCCTGAGCCACGCACCTGGCCCGAGATTCTCGAGTGGTCCTTCCTAGTCACACCATGGCAATCCTGTCCGGTGAGGCCAAAAGCGTGCCTGAGTTTAGCTGCAGGAGACACGGACTCTGAAGATGCTCTCTGTTATGGGCTATGTTGTGCCCCTCCCAAATTCAAAAGTAGAAGTCCTAACCCCCAGGACCTCAGGTTTTCTACAGAGATAATTAAGTTAAAGGGAGACAATTAGGGTGGGTGGGTCCTCAGCCAGTATGACTGGTGTCCTTACAAGTAGGGGATTAGGACACAGAATCACAGGGGGAAGACCACATGGGGACATGGGGAGAAGATGTCATCTACAAGCCAAGGAGAGAGGCCTCAGGAGAAACCAACCCTGGTGTTTGAGCTACCCAGTCTCGCGTACTTTGTTATGGCAGCCCCAGCAAAGTAAACCACCTCCAAATCTTCCCTCACTTGGCAATACCGAGCCTCCGAATATCCTTCCATTTTGGAAGGAGACGTGAATCCCAGGAATGAATCATTGCTGGCTCCAACTAGATGGCTTCTGCCTAGGGATACACGGCTCTTTGAAGGAGGCGCCTTTTTTTGTTGTTGTTGTTTGAGACGGAGTCTCACTCTGTCCCCCAGGCTGGAGTGCAGTGGCACGGAGGCACCTTTTTTCTGCTGTCCTGGTGAACTTCCTCTTTTTATTCCCCTCTCTGCACTTTTTTAACACAACACAAGACAAGACCGAGGAGCTAAGAGAGCTCCAGCACTGTCCTGCTGTCCAGAAGGAGAACAACCTGAAGTCCTGAACTGCTCAGAACTC